>NC_000001.11:246941697-247093212 GCF_000001405.40 Homo sapiens
ATCATGAAAGTTTAATGCACTTGGCAAATTTTATTTCATTTTAATATTTTTATTTTTATTTATTTTGGAGACAGAGTCTCTCTCTGTGGCCCAGACTGGAGTGCAGTGGTGCAATCTTGGCTCACTGCAACCTATAAAAATAAATATTTTTATTTTTTAAAATTTCCCACAACACTGACATAAACACTTGGCAAATTTAATTGCATTTATTTATTATTTCTGGAAACAGAGTCTCACTCTGTCATCCAGGCTGCTCTCGCAGTCCTCAGCTCAAGCTCGCCTCCTGCCTCTGCCTCCCAAAGTACTGGGATTACAAGTGTGAGCCACCACATCCAGCCTATTATGCAATCTTTTAATTCTATCTCAAATATAAATTGCCTCTTCAGTGGAGCAGCTTTTGGAAAACAGACACTTGGTAAACCTTTAGTAAATAAGGCTGGGGAGACGGCATTTCAGCAGAACAGAGAGTAGAGAGTGGGAACATTTAACCTCCAAAACAGAAGGGTGGAGATAAACACACCAGCACCAGAGTCTAAGAATTATTCTCTTTGAGTTACAGTCTTCAAAGACAGGAAAAGAAGATCAAGAGTTTTGGCTGGGCGTGAGGGCTCATGCCTGTAAATCCCAGCACTTTGGGAGGCCAAGGTAGGCAGATCACTTGAGGTCAGGAGTTCAAGAACAGCTTGGCTAACATGATGAAATCCCATCTCTACAAAAAAAATATAAAACTTAACCGGGAGTGGTGGCGGGCGCCTGTAACCCCAGCTACTTGGGAGGCTGAGGCAGGAGAATCGCTTGAATCCAGGAGGTGGAGGTTGCAGTGAGCCAAGATTGCACCATTGCACTCCAGCCTGGGTGACAGAGCGAGACTCTGCTAAAAAAAAAAAAAAAAATTCAAGAGTTTTTCAATTTGAAGATCATGAAGGTTTCAAAGAGTGAAATACGGTCCCGCACTTGGTAAGACTCAGATGGAGTCATGCTGCACAAACACTAAAGGATAAAATGATGTGGGAAAAACAATTTTGGCAAACTTGAGTATAATTCCAGCTGATGTATCATAGAAACCATTTAAATAGAATCAGTCTCAATAAGACATGCAATGACATTGTTGGTGAAGTCGTTAAGTACTTTTGTAAACATTATTTAATTAGAATCATTTCTTTCCTTTGGTATTTTTGGGGGCACACTTCAAACCTGCACACTGTCAACCTCCTGGAATGGAGAAGATCTGAAACAGCATCTCCAACTTCGTGTCAGCCTTCAACTCCCCCGAGACCATCAGGCGCCCACAGGCCAAAACATCCAGAGTGGGCCATGTGTTATCCTAGACCAGACTCCTAACACAAATGCAACAGGTTCAACCCCATTAGCACATTTATTTTTAAAATTTATTTTGAGATGGAGTCTCATTCTGTTGCCCAGGCTAGAGTGCAGTGCCGCAGTCTCGGCTCACTGTAACGTTCGCCTCCCGGGTTCAAGCGATTCTCCTGCCTCAGCCTCCCAAGTAGCTGGGATTACAGGGTCCATCACCACACTTGGCTAATTTGTGTACTTTTAGTAGAGATGGGGTTTCACCATGTTGACCAGGCTGGTCTCGAACTCCTGACCTCAGGTGATCCACCCGCCTCGGCTTGCCAAAGTGCTGGGATTACAGGCGTGAGCCACTGTGCCTGGCCTAAAAACTTTTTTGTAGAGGCGAGGACTCACGATGTTGCCCAGGTTGGTCTCATACTCCTGGCCTTCAGTGACCCTCCCACCTCAGCCTCCCAAAGCACAAGGATTACAGGTGTGAGCCACTGGACCGGCCGGGAAACAGCGTATTGAAATATGAAAAGTCCTGAATTTGGGCAAAAAATATGTAAATTTGAATTTTGATCTCTGGTGCTATCCTATGCAACTTGTGCATCCATAGATAAAGACCTTAAGCTAGCCAAGCCTCAGTTACCTTATCTATTGTGAGGATTATGTGTGAAAATACATAGTAAGTGGAACTGCTACCAAATATGTGCAATAGCAAATATTGTTCTTATTTCTATAGCTTCAATGAGTTATCTGATACGCAACAAACTGTGATAGTATGGAAGATATTTCTCCATTGCTTTGGATGAATTATTCTACGTAAATGTCAGGCTATATTGAATCACTGTATTATGATTTTTCTTTTGAGTTGCTGGTCATTGGTTTGGAATGTTAGTCGACCTAATGTATAATTTCTTATATAAATAATAGATTATCAGAGTCAGGCCCCTAAAAATTACCTACTCCATCTTGTTTCAATGGGAAGATTTTTGCTCAACATCATTTTTAGTTTTTGGTAAACCTAGCCAGAACCACCAGTGGTCCCTCAGTCCCTGTCTCTCTTTTTCTTCTTTAGAAGGAATTACCCTTATGACACAACTGCAAACAAAATAAAATCTATTATCATGCCCACTTTAAAACATCAACATGGATAATTAGATAGGAAACAAAACATGGTTTACGTATGAAAGAGAAACAAAACACTTCCAGCTTAATGAACTAGAAATAAAATCTTCCACTATAATTGCCACTATTATCTGATGTGTTAGCACCAAGTTAATCAAAGGGGCACTCCAGACAAAGGAAGTTAATGAATCATGGTGCCATCTGCACATGCTTGAGAAGCCTGGTGCCTTGAAATAGGAAATACAACAAGGGTCCATTACAGCATCCATCACGCTATGTTCTAATTACTTTTTATAAATTATTTTCCCGACTACACTGTGAGCTTTGTTAGGACAAAAAAAAAAGTCTTTGTTGGCCGGGTGTGGTGGCTCACGCCTATAATCCCAGCACTTTGGGAGGCCGAGGCGGGTGGAACATAAGGTCAGGAGTTCAAGACCAGCCTGGCCCAAATGGTGAAACCCCATCTCTACTAAATATACAAAAATTAGCCGGGTGTGGTGGCGAGTGCCTTGTAGTCCCAGCTACTCAGGAGGCTGAGGCAGGAGAATCACTTGAACCCGGGAGGTGGAGGTTGCAGTGAGCCGACATCGTGCCACTGCACTCCAGCCTGGGTGACAGAGTAAGATTCCATCTCAAAAAAAAAAAAAAAAAAAAAAGTCTTTGTCATCTTTTTTTCCTCGGTGTTTAGCAAAGCACCTAGCATATAGTCGGCATTCACGGGTTTTTTTTTTTAGATTCAGGGTCTCACTCTGTTGCCCAGGCTGGAGTGCAGTGGTGCTATCATAGCTCACTGCAACCTCAAACACCTGGATCAAGTGATCCTCCTGCCTCAGCCTCCCAAATAGCTGGGACTACAGGCATGCACCACCATGCTTGGCTAATTTTTAAAATTTTTTTGTAGAGACAGGGTCTCCCTATATTGCCCAGGCTGGGTTGTGAACTCTTGGCCTCAAGTGATTCTCCTGCCTCAGCCTCCAGAGTCACTGGGATTACAAGCATGAGCCACCACACTCAGCTGTTTTTGTTTGTTTGCTTGTTTGTTTTGAGTCGGAGTCTCGCTCTGTTGCCCAGGCTGGAGTGTAGTGGCACGATCTCGGCTCACTACAACCTCTGCCTCCCGGGTTCAAGTGATTCTCCTGCCTCAGCCTCCCAAGTAGCTGGGATTACAGGCGCCTGCCACCACGCCCAGCTAATTTTTTTTTTTTTATTTTTAGTAGAAACGGGCTTTCACCATCTTGGCCAGGCTGGTCTCGAACTTCTGACCTCGTGATTCACCTGCCTCAGCCTCCCAAAGTGCTGGGATCACAGGTGTGAGCCACTGCACCCAGCCTTTTTTTTTAAAAAAATGAATGAATACACTACATCTGTGTAGTGCAGAAAAAAAGTGAAACACTAACAAAATAATAAAAAAGAAAATTAAAAAATGAATTAATACATTTTCTTTTCTATTCATGGAGTTAGGACAACCAAATGAAAAGGGAAAAAAAGAGATATCTCAATAAAAACCAACATGGAAGAACAATCTTCCTTTCATATTCATCAGAAATAGATTCTGTGGGAGGCATGTTTTAATTCAGAACTCGGGCTGACGCAGCTGGACCCGGTGTAAATTCGCCTCACGGAGCAGGGAGTCCAGGCACTGTGTTCAAGCAGCGACGGAACCTCCGCAGGGTCTTCAAAGCAGCTCGATGGTCGACGACTGGACCCTGAAAAAAAGAAAGAAAGAAAAGCAGCTTAAGGTTCCGAGTAGCTCCTTGGGATATGATTTATGCTGAGGTGTTAAACCGGTTCTGATTGAAGACTTGGTTCCATTGGAGAAGTCTGTCTGTCCCTTGCCATTTCAAATTCACGCAGGTGTGAGCCACTGCGCCCAGCCTCTGAGAGGTTTTAGATGGCAAAAAGATGAAGCAATCTAAAGTTATACGATAGTTCCATAAATACGGGAGGTTTGAGCTTTTATTTTTTAGCTCATTGTCTTTCCCCAGAAGGATGTGCAATGAAAATGCTCCCCGTGCCACACCGGCTGAGGCTATCATCCTCCCGCCGCTGCATTTTAGTCCTTTGACCTTCCTAATCCCACGTCCCATCCCATCTTGATTGCTTTCTGATTTTTCTTGAGTCTACCTATCACTATATGACAGAGCGTCTTCTATCTACACCATGAAAATTTCTCCCTACAACGTGACTGTACTTTCATTCTCTTCCAAAGCCTTTGCCTGTTCTTGCCTTGCCACTTTTCTGAACCACGTGGTCCCTATTATGTTCTCAATTCTTATGCGGTCTGATTTCTTACTCATTTTTAGCCTTCTGATAAATTTTCATACCCTCTCGGACTTTTACTTATTTCCTGGCATTTTATGTAGCCAACAATTGCACTCATTTGTGAAGGTTGAAAGGAGGGGTGATGAGCGAGATGGCATCTGGCTGGCAGCCAGGCGGGCCCTCTCCCGGTGACAGCACCACAAACCTGGCTCCAGTCTTGCTCTTGGAGAAAACTTGGTCATGCCAGGACTCCTAGAGCTCATCTGTCTCAAGGAGACTGACTTGTGGGAACCACAATCCTAAGAAGTGTATCTAGAAACCAAAATTCTAACTTACTGATTGATAATAGTGGATATTTCTTTGCTTTAACTGGGATTCCTGTAGGCCTGATCCAGAGAATCCTCTCTTCAGATAGTGAGATGTGTGGGAAACCGAGTAATCAAAATATGGCTTGGTGAACATGAAATCAAAGAGTAGGCTGTGCGCGGTGGCACACGCCTGTAATCCCAGCACTTTGGAAGGCCAAGGCAGGCAGATCACGAGGTCAGGAGATCAAGACCATCCTGGTTAATGCAGTGAAACCCCGTCTCTACAAAAAATACAAAAATTAGCCGGGCGTGGTGGCGGGCGCCTGTAGTTCCAGCTACTCCGGAGGCTGAGGCAGGAGAATGGCATGAACTCGGGAGGTGGAGCTTGCAGTGAGCTGAGATCGGGCCACTGCACTCCAGCCTGGGCGACAAAGCGAGACTCCGTCAAAAAAAAAAAAAAAAAAATCAAAGAGTAAATGGGGTGATAGGGTTTTTTATTTTTTTTGGGGGGGTGGTTTTTTTTTTAGAGACAGACCCTCCCTTTGTCGCCCAGGCTGGAGTGCAGTGGCCGTTCACAGGCACTGTCATGCCTGTCATATAGTGTGCACCATAGCCTCACACTCCTGGGCTCAAACAATCCCCCTGCTTCAGCCTCTTGAGAAGCCGGGACTATTGGCATGCACCACTGTACATGGCTTGTGGGGATTGTTTTGAAGGTTTGGGAAGCCTGGTGACTCACAATTGCCTCTCAACAGAGAACAGTCTGTTCTAGATCAACACAGCCAACTCTGGGTCTCCGACTTCCTTTCCCGCACTACTGCCATTCTAAGCACAAGGTCATTCCACACAGGGCAGAGTACAACAGATTTGGGTTTTTGCTGATGAAGCGACAATCAGGCTTTTCTCCCTGGCATTGTTTCTGGGACACTGTGAGTGGTATATCGGGCGTTTCCATGCATCTCAACCACACGTTTATTCACAGTCTCTTGATTTAATCCCACGGATGGATAATTCTATCCATAATGGGTACAGACATCACTTGTTTTATTTTCAGAGGACAATCTTATGTCTTACTTTAATTTCTGGTGCTCACCTCCATGAATTACCATGTACCAGTATCACAGCCTTCTATAATTCTAATGGAACATTTAAGTAGCTATTGTTTTTCTAATATAATATACATGCTGCAAAATTATTGCAAGGAACGGGACAAGGAAAGCCCTGTGGCAGGAGAAAATTCTGCAGAGTTGTTTGCTGAGGCCATGATTTCATTCCTTGAATACTGGAAGGATAATGTGGTATTGGGAAAGAGCACAGTTTGCTTGGAATTCTGTCTCCACACTCATTACCTGTGAGGCGATGAGTGACGTCGTTGACCTTTTCTTTTTCTTTTCTTTTTTGAGACAGGATCTTACCCTGTCACTCAGACTGGAATGCAGTGGCGTGATCTTGGCTGACTGCAACCTCTACTTCCCAGGCTCAAGCAACTCTCCTGCCTCGGCCTCCTGAGTAGCTGGGATTACAGGCACTCACCACCACGCCTGGCTAATTTTTGTATTTTTAGTAGAGATGAGGTTTCACCATGTTGGCCAGGCTGGTCTTGAACTCCTGACCTCAAATGGTCC
Source organism: Homo sapiens (assembly GCF_000001405.40). NCBI lineage: Eukaryota > Metazoa > Chordata > Mammalia > Primates > Hominidae > Homo > Homo sapiens. The sequence goes on from NC_000001.11 coordinate 246,948,317, forward strand.
ACCCTCCTCAGCCTCCCAAAGTGCTGGGATTACAGGTGTGAGCCACCACGCCTGGCTGTAGTTGACCTTTTCTAAGCCAATGCCACTCCAAGTGTGGATCCCAAACTGTCTGTACGAGGCTGCGAGGAGATAAGGGGCTTGCACCAGAAAATAAAATGAGCCACGCCACTCAACACACTACTTAACTTGGCTGACTTTTTTTCCAAAGTCAGACTTTCTCAATGAAGGAAACAGTACCTTGATTTACATTCTGTCCCAGGTTCCTTGGCAATAAAATTGGAAAATAATACTAACTTCACAGGGCTGCCACTGTAGAGATTAAATTAATGGTGTTGCATGAAAAGTGTCTGGCACGATGTGTGTACAATAAATAGTTGTTTTAGTGTGTCTGAGTTGCACAATTTAGCACTAAGAGCAAACTTTTCAAGCAAGTTTATAACCAGCAACAGGCTCATAGAAGACAAGAGAGGTAAGAGGCTAAGGGCTTTATACCCTGCCATTCGCCTCATTGCTCTGAAGACCCTAAGCCTTGCCTCTCCCTAAGCATCTATTCCCTCATCTGTAAACTGGAATAATAATAGCGCCCACCTCACAGAGCTGTTCTGAGAACGAAATTACATACCCTATGTACAATACCTAGAATACTGCCAGATATTTAGTAGGTGTCTGATGAATATTAGTTTCCTTTTTTGCACTTCAACAGCATTGAGGATGCTTTCAAGAATATTTGCATGATATTTAAGGAAACAGCTATCACATGCAAAACTTTTCTAATGCTAACAGCAACTCCAGAACTCCAGAAAAGAATTAAAGATTGGAGTAATGAAACAGAAGGACCCTGCTGGTAAAAATGAAAACAGGAATACCATATGATGGTATTTTCTTTTAAAATTAATTCTGTGAGAGGCAGGTGGAATTTTTAGCTCTGGTTCAATCCATTTATGTTGGATCTAGTGAGACTAGTATCTCCTCCTAAAGAGCTCTATCTCTTGGGCCGGGCCTGGTAGCTCACAGTTGTAACCCCCACACTTTGGGCGGCCGAGGCAGGCAGCTCATCTGAGGTCAGGAGTTCAAGATCAGCCTGGCCAACATGGCGAAACCCCGTCTCTACTAAAAAGACAAAAACTAGTCGGGCATGTTGGCACATGCCTTTAGTCCCAGCTACTTGGGGGGCTGAGGCAGGAGACTCGCTTGAACCCAGGAGGTGGAGGTTGCAGTGAGCCGAGATCATGCTACTGCACTCCAGCCTAGGCGACAGAGCAAGACCCTGTCTCAAAAAAAAAGAAAAAAAAAAAAAGAGCTCTATCTCTTGAACCCTGGGGTTTCCTTCCTGACTGAGCTGCATGTTCTTATTCTTACAGGTTCCCAACAGTGACTGATCTTTCCACCTCATCAAAGGTCCCTTACTTCCCCACGCCTTCTTGTTATTGAGTTTGTGGTCAGTGTGACTTTTTGAGATATAATTTTTTTTACTTTGCAAACAAATGGAAAAGACTAATTACTTTTCTTTTATATAGTATAACCATCAATTACATACTAACAATTTTGTATGTGTCTTTAAATATAATCGTATAAAAGTGACATTCTGTAGCAGGAAAATGTATACAGAATTAATTCGGCTTCAGATTTACGGCTTAAGTAATATTTTTATTATCTTATGCCACAGAAGAGATATTTGTGTCTTTATTTTTAAAGTGGCTATGTGCCTCATTTTACGAAATAAAATCTTATTGTACTAAAGTCATATACTAGGCTTCAGTTACTGAAAGCCAAAGGAGGTCATGAGTTCCTGATGTAACTCACCAAAGAGCCTACGGATTAAAAGGAGAATATGTTTCCCCACTTTTATCTGGTTGCCTCCTGCTTTTGCTTAGTTTCATAATTCGTGACCTTTTGGGAGAAAGACAAAATTGGTGTGTGCTTATGACCAAGGACTATGCTTGAATATACAACTAGGAAGGCCTCTCAAATGGTTTAAAAATAATTACTGAAAAGATTCAGACTTGCCATTCTTTTTGATTATATATAATCCTTTAAAAATAATCCACCCAGGCCAGGGGTGGTGGCTCACGCCTCTAATCCCAGCACTTTGGGAGGCCAAGGTGGGCGGATCACCTGAGGTCAGGAGTTTGAGACCAGCCTGGCTAACACGGTGAAATTTCATTTCTACTAAAAACATAAAAAATTAGCTGGGCGTGGTGGCACGCTCCTGTATTCCCAGCTACTCGGGAGGCTGAGGCAGGAGAATTTCTTGAACCCGGGAGGCAGAGGTTGCAGTGAGTAGAGATTTCGTCACTGCACTCCAGCCAGGGCAACAGAGCGAAACTCCGTTTCAAAAAAAAAAAAAAAAAAAAAAAAAAATCCACCCAATATAGAAACAAATGACAATTACAGGGATTTGTAAAGCTATTAACATTTCATTGCTCTCCTGGCTCTGTCTCTTCCTAGTTGAGCAGCTTTGGACAAGGTACTTGACCACTCTGTCTCGGTTTCTTCATTTGTAAAATGCAAAATGACAGTAGTTTCATCCTCCTAGGATGACTGTGAAAATTAAATGAGTAAACTTGTAAAACAGTAGCTATTCTTATGACCACTCCAAATTGAAAAATATCAAACAGGTATACCCTGTTCCTCCAAAGTCATGTCAACTTGTTTACTATCAAACAATATACAGTTAGTAATAAAACAAAGGTATGACTTCATGTCCCTTTTGTTACAGAATGAGTGCAATTCATATTGTAGGAATATTGTGCTTTTTACTCAGTTTAAGTGTTGTCATATAGTTGGTCTGAAATGGAGGCACCGAGACACCCTCAGTATGTGTCATTATGTCATCATTATAAAAATCACCCTAGCCCTTGGGCCTGGACTCTTGGTCTCTGTTATGCGCTGAACTGTGTTCCCCAAAAAGGTATGCTGAAGTCCTACCCCCAGTATCTCAGAATGTGACCTTTTTCGGAAATAGAGGCACTGCAAGTGCAATTAATTAAGTCGTCATGCTGGAATAGGGTGGGTCCTCATACAATCAGAAGGGAAAACAGACACGGAGGGGAGATGGCCACGTCGAAGGTGGTGGAGGTTGGAGTGATGTTGCCACAAGCCAAGGAATGTCTGGGGCTACCAGAAGCTGGGCGAGGCAAGGAAGGATTCTTCCCTAGAGGCCTTGGCAGAAGTCAGGCCCTGCTGACACCTTGATTTCAGACTTTGAGCCTCCAGAACTGAGATAATACATTTCCGATGTTTGAAGGCACACCATTTGTGGTGTTTTGTTATAGCAGCCTTAGGAGACTATTACACGCTCCTAGACCAGAAACTAGAACAAAGAGGCAAGTCTCAGGTCAACCACAGAGGCCCTGGTCCTTAGCTACAACGATCCAAATTGTCAGGAAAGCCAGCTTCTGTGTGGAAGATCCTTCCTGTGGGAACTGCTGAGACCTGGTAAGCCAGGTGCTGGCACAGCTGGGCCAGCCCTTTGGGACTAGAAAGGGATAGAATGAGCCCCATAGGCTTTGTCAAAGAGGTTTCCCTGACCACCCTACCTAGAGTGCACCTTCTCCCCCCGCTCTTTGTCCTCTTACCTTGCTTTTTCTTCACAGCACCAGTTCATCTTTGTTTACTGTCTGGCTTCCCAAGTACCACTATATATTTTTGAGACAGGGTCTCGCTCTGTCGCACATGCTGGAGGGCAGTGGTGTGATCTTGGCTCATGGCAGCTTTGACCTCCCAGGCTCAGGCGATTCTCCCACCTCAGCCTCCTGAGTAGCTGGGACTACAGTCGTATGTTACCACATCTGGCTAATTTTTGTATTTTTAGTAGAGACAGGATTTTGCCTTGTTGCCCAGGCTGGTCTCGAACTCCTAGCCTCAAGTGATCTGCCTGCCTCGGCCTCCCAAAGTGCTGGGATTATAGGCGTGAGCCACTGTGTCCAGCCCCCAAGTACCACTTCTACCACCAGAGTGGAAGCTCTATGAAAACAGAGACCACAGATGATAATTTCAAATTTTCTTTAGTGTCCTTTGTATTTTGCACAGGTGATTTAAACATTTTATTTATTTTGTGTCTCCTTGCAGTTTGCAAGTTGTTTTCCTCTTTAATCAGAAAAAGGATATTAAAAACTGTAAGCTTTCTATAAAGTTTTGTTCACAGTTCATATCTCCAGCACATATTAGGTATTCAATGAATATTTGTTGAATGAATGACTAGAATAAATAATGTTATGCTTCTTCTTCTTCTTTTTTTTTTTTTTTGAGGCAGGGTCTCACTCTGTTGCCCAGGCTGGAGTACAGTGGTGCAATCACAGCTTACTGCAAGCTTGAACTCCTGGGCTCAAGTGATCCTCCCTCCTCAGCCTCCTGGGTAGCTGGGACTACAGGTGCATTCCAGCATGCTGGTGTTATGCTTCCTTTATTCTCCATATTTAATTCATCTTTTATTCCTCAACAGTATTCAGCAACTTCTTTTCAGAAACTATTGATTTTTGGCCAGGTGCAGTGGCTCACATCTGTAATCCCAGCACTTTGGGAGGCTGAGGCAGGAGGATCACTTAAGCCCAGGAGTTCAAGAGTTCAAGACCAGCCTGGGCAACATAGTGAGGCCTTATCTGTATAAATTTTGTTTTAAAAAAGAAATTATTGCCAGTCTCAGCCACAATGAAGGAAACCTAGGAAAGGATGTGACCCTACTTGAGCCACAATTTAGAAGGGCATGTCCACCCCACAATCCTCTGAGGTTCCCAATGGCTGGACTGTAATACTTCCCTAGGCTTTCGGTGTAATACTAAGTTTGTTCTACTCTACTAGATATTTTCTTGTCATACGCTCAACTTCAGGCCTCCTTTGGAGGGAGGCTTAAGGGAACATTGGCAGATTCCAACGTATTTAAATAATTAACATGACATTCCTAGCTATTGTTTTATTCATTGATGAATTTTGGAATGTCATTACAAATTGTAAATTTGGACCTAGATGCTGATTGCTTATTTTCAGAAAACCTACAGAATAACCTCAGTAATAAAAACAAAGTGGGCCACGCCTGTAATCCCAGCACTTTAGGAGGCCGAGGCGGGCGGATCACGAGGTTAGGCGACCTAGACCATCCTGGCTAACATGGTGATACCCCGCATCTAGTAAAAAAAATATAAAAAATTAGCCAGGCGTGGTGGCACACGCCTGTAGTCCCAGCTACTCGGGAGGCTGAGGCAGGAGAATCGTTTGAACCCGGGAGGCAGAGGTTGCAGTGAGCCAAGATCGCACCACTGCACTCTAGCTCTGGGTGACAGAGCAAGACTCCATCTCAAAAACAAACAAAAAAACAACAAAGAAATGGGCCCTGCGTAGTGGCTCACGCCTGTATCCCAGCACTTTGAGAGGACAAGGTAGGTGGGTCACCTGAGGTCAGGAGTTCAAAACCAGCCTGACCAACGTGGTAAAAATACAAAATTACTACTAAAAATACAAAAATTAGCTGGGCATAGTGGCAGGCACCTGTAATCCCAGCTACTCAGGAGGCTGAGGCAGGAGAATCACTTGAACCCAGGAGATGAAGGTTGCAGTGAGCTGAGATCACGCCACTGCACTCCAGCCTGGGCGACAGAGTGAGACTGTCTCAAAACAAACAAACAAACAAGCAAAAAAAAAAAAAAAAAGAAACCCGAAAAACAAAGAAGCCTAAAAACTCAGGGTAAGTGTAGAGCTTGGGACTCTGCTAAGACTCAACAGTGCCCTAGAGGATAGCCATTCAGTATTATCATAAATCCTCAAGTCTTCCATTTTGCCATCCTTAAAACAACTGTTTCTGAGCACAGGGACACTGGCACATGAATGAACGAATGACTTCAGTTTGTCCTCAACTGTCTTGCCAATCAGGCCAACCTTAAAGCTACAGAAGGAGATTGTCCTGAATTTCCCTGAGAGCCAACGGCACTAACAACTGTTAAACCAGAAGAATAAAAACCCAAATATTGGCACACACTCCCCAAACATGTTGTCCAGCAGTTGAAAGCCAAGGACAGGAACAGGCAATGCCTGCCAGCTGTTCCAGGGGAAAGGGTCCAAACTGATCTTAGACTCAGCTTTGCTTGAGTTCAGCCCGAATTGCTGGAGAAGATCCACCAACCTTCCAGTGGCCTAAGATTGATCCAAAACTGGCAGTCACCGTTCCCCAAAGGTGATACTATTATTTCAGCTCTCACAAGAAAACCCATGTAACTGGAAGATGAAGAACAAAAATCAGGATAACACAAGATTCTGATTGTCTTGTCTAATGTACAGGATTTGGAATCAGGCTTCTATATATGGAAACCATGTGTGTCTAGAGCCTTAAGTTTCATGCAAATTCCTGTAAAATGATCACTGATCAGATCATCTGTAAAAATGTGGAATCTGGATTAGACGATCTCTCAGGCCACTTCCAGCTCGAAACTCTGACTTGCTATCTCTATATTCTTATAGGGTTTTCTTGCTCACTAAGTTTTTAGGAAAATAATAACTGAGAAAATAAAAATTTAATACAGTCATACAGTCATCTCAGGATACATTCTGAGAAAATCATTGAGTGTACTTACACAAATCTATATAGTATAGCCTACTATACACCTAGGCTATCAGGTAAGGCCTTGATATGGTTTGGCTGTGTCCCCACCCAAATCTCATCCAAATCTCATCTTGAATTGTAGCTCCCATAATCCCCACGTGTCATGGGAGGGACCTGGTGGGAGGTAATTGAATCATAGGGGGAGTTTTTCCCATACAGTTCTCACGACAGTGAATAAGTCTGCACGTGCTTTCTTGCCTGCCACCATGAAGATGTGCCTTTGCTCCTCCTTCACCTTCCACCACGATTGTGAGGCCTCCCCAGCCATGTGAAACTGGATCCATTAAACCTCTTTTTCTTTAAAAATTACCCAGTCTTGGGTATTTCTTCATAGCAGTATGAAAATAGACCAATACAGGCCTATTGCTCCTAGGCTACAAACCTGTACAGCATGTTACTGTACTGAATAGTGTAAGGAAATCATCACACAATGGTAAGTATTTGTGATAGAAATTTTTCAGCTCTATTGTAACCTTAGGGGATCACTGTCGTCTATGAGGTCCATCATTGACTGAAACTGTTATGCAGTGCTTAACTGTATTATGTGACAAAATGTGTATAAGTAATTTTATTTAATTAAGAGTAGAAGCTCTCCCGCAGTGTTCTCATATACTCTAAACTCTAAAATTATCATTCTACTCAGTATTGCTGATCTCTTCATTGAGCTTGTAAACAAACACCTACACAGAACAGAACTAATTAATTTTAATCTAAATCCATTTTCTTTTGTACAAAGGAGGCTTTTTCCCCAAGATTTGTTTCAATCCTTTAGCCTAAAATGATAACGCCCTATATTTACCTAGCGATGTTAACTTTTCAAAGTCCGTTCTTTTCTACCATCTCTCTAGAATGTAGGCTCCTAAGAGTACTACTGTCTTCTGGACAATGTCCAGCACACAGAAGGTGCTCAGTGAGTCCCAGCTGAAGAAAGTGAATATGATGCTCACAAGAACTCCCTGGGTAGACAACGGTCTCATCACTAACCCCTTACTTGACAGATTTAGGTACGGAGGCACGGGAGCCAGATGAGGACATTAACCAAAGATACCCACATGCCAGATATTAGTTTGGATTGGATTTTTTTTTTTTTTTTTTTTTAAGACAGAGTCTTGCTCTGTAACCCAGGCTAGAGTACAGTGGCATGATCTCGGCTCACTGCAACCTCCACCTCCTGGGTTCAAGCAGTTCTCTGCCTCAGCCTCCCAAGTAGCTGAGATTACAGGCTTCGGCCACCAGTCCCGGCTAATTTTTTTGCATTTTTAGTAGAGATGGGGTTTCACCAAGTTGGCCAGGCTGGTCTTGAACTCCTGACCTCGTGATCGACCAGCCTCGGCCTCCCAAAGTGCTGGGATTACAAGCATGAGCTACTGTGCCCGGCCGATTGGATCATTATTTTTAAAAAAATCTATAAAAGATGGTCATGGGGGCCGGGCGCGGTGGCTCATGCCTGTAATCCCAGCACTCTGGGAGGCTGAGGCAGGCAGATCACTTGAGGTCAGGAGTTTGAGACCAGCCTGGCCAACATGGTGAAACCCCGTCTCTACAAAAAATACAAAAATTAGCCGGGCCTGGTGGCAGTCACCTATAATCCCAGCTACTCAGGAGGCTGAAGTAGGAGAATCACTTGAACCCGGGAGGCAGAGGTTGCAGTGAGCCGAGATTGTGCCGCTGCACTCCAGCCTGGGGGACAGAGTGAGACTCTGCCTCCAAAAATAAAAAAAAGATCATGGGATAATTGGGGGTATGTTAATATTGAATTGCCCATTCTATGTTATTAGATATCATGAAACTATTATTGTTATTATTTATTTTTATTTTTGTAGAGATGTGGTCTTGCTGTGTTGCCCAAGCTAGTCTTGAACTCCTGACCTCAAGTGATCCTCCCACCTTGGCCTCCTAAAGTGCTAGGATTACAGGCATGAGCCACTGCGCTGGGCCTATTTCTTGAGATGATAACGTTGTTGTGATTACTCAGTATAACGTCCTTATGCTTAGGAGATGCATGTTGTGACTGTAATATTTACAGGTGGTATCATGATATGTGAAATGAACTTTCTATTGGTTCAGTAAGAAAAAAAGAGATAAAGCAAATATTGAATTAATAAAATGTTAGTATTATCTGCATCTATATGGAGAATAAATGGTATTCTTTGTACTACTCTTTCAAGTTTTTAATTAAAAATTGGGAAACAGGCCGAGTGCGGTGGCTCATGCCTGTAATCCCAACACTTTGGGAGACCGAGGCCGGCAGATCATGAGGTCAAGAGATGGAGACCATCCTGGCCAACATGGTGAAACCCCGTCTTTACTAATAAATACAAAAAATTAGCTGGGCGTGGTGGTGCACTCCTGTAGTCCCAGCTACTCGGGAGGCTGAGGCAGGAGAATCGCTTGAACTAGGGAGTTGGAGGTTGCAGTGAGCTGAGATCAGGCTCCTGCACTCCAGTCTGGGCAACACAGCGAAACTCCGTCTAAAAAAAAAAAAAAAGAATTGGGGAACACAAGCAACGAAGAAACCACAGCAGAAAATCGTATGTCTGACTATAAGAAAACTTTAATCTTCTCTAATTATGGTTAATTTGGGTGGTAGGACTATATTGGACTATTCTTTTCATCTTTTTCTAAATTTTCCACGTGAGCAGATATTTATAATAAAATATTTTAAAATTCAAATTATGTAGCAATATGAGATAAACCTTCAATACCTTTCTAGAAACACATTGTGGCAGATTGGGTTTTTTTTTGAGATAGGGTGTCACTCAGCTTGCCCAGGCTGGAGTGCAGTGGCATGATCTTACCTCACTGCAGCCTCGAGCTCCTGGGCTCAGGTGACTCCTACATTAGCCTCCCCAGTAGCTGGGACTACAGGTGCACACCACCAAGCCTGGCTAATTTTTTGTATTTTTAGTGGAGACAGGTTTTGCCATGTTGCCCAGGCTGGTCCCAAACTCCTGGTCCTACAGACGTGAGCCACCACACCCAGCCTTGTATTTTCTAAAGATGGTTGCACCTGTATATTTATTACTACATGCATCCTACATGCCTTTTCTATGATGAGTCTGACACTTCTCCCACAGAGACGTTGGATCTATGTTTCTTCTCTTTGAATCTAGGCAGGGACTTGGTTTTTGTTTTGTTTTGTTTTGTTTTTGTTTTTGTTTTTTTTTTGAGACAGAGTCTTGCTCTGTCGCCCAGGCTGGAGTGCAGTGGCGCGATCTCGGCTCACTGCAAGCTCCGCCTCCCGGGTTCACGCCATTCTCCTGCCTCAGCCTCCCGAGTACCTGGGACTACAGGTGCACACCACCACGCCCGGCTAATTTTTTGTATTTTTAGTAGAGACAGGGTTTCACCATGTTAGCCAGGATGTTCTTGATCTCCTGACCTCGTGATCTGCCCTCCTCGGCCTCCCAAAGTGCTGGGATTACAGGCGTGAGCCACTGCACCCAGCCGGGACTTGTCTTATGATTGCCCCAGTATTGAAGTTTGGCAAAAAGTCACAAAATATGTGACTTTGAAGGCTAGGTCATAAAAATGAAGAAACCTCCATTTATTTTTCCTTCTCTCTTGGGATCCTTACCCTTAGAACTCAGCCATCACATAGTAAGGAGACTCAGGCCACAGACAGGTCTAGTGAGGAATTCTGGCTGACATCCTCAGCTAGTCCCCAGCCATGAGCAAGCATCAGCTGCTGTCATGATCCTGAGTGAATGATCCCTCAGAGTCCAGGCGCCAGCCTTTGAGTCTTCCAGCTGATATCCCTGACAATGTGGGTCAGAAACCAGCCATCCATTCTACGCCTGGTGTGAATTTCTAACCATGGAAACGGTGCGAGATAATACACGATGTAACGCATGATTGTTGTACTTTAAGCCACCCCATTTTCGGGTGATTTGTTATGCAGCCATAGTAACACGCGGGGACAGTGAAGTCCTCTAAGGTGAAAAGTGTGTTTGCTATTGGTTTAAGAAAGCGAGTGCCACTCACGGGGAAGAAGAAGTGTCTTGTAAATTATCACTAATCTCCTCAGATGTCAATGAATCAGATACTGTAAATTATCCTTACTCTCCTCAGATGTCAGCGAATCAGATACTGTGTCTTGGCCAGGTGCGTTGGCTCACACCTGTAATCCCAGCACTTTGGGAGGCCAAGGTGGGATTGCTTGAGGCCAGGAGTTTCAGACAAGCCTGGGCAACATAGCAAGACCCTGTCTCTACAACAAAATTTAAAAATTAGCCGGGCATGTACCTGTAGTCCCAGCTACTTGGGAGACTGAGGCAGGAGGATTGCTTGAGCCCAGGAGTTTGAAACTGCAGTGAGGTATGATCTCACCACAGGACTCACTCCAGCCTGGATGACAGAGTGAGACCCTGTCTCAAAAAAAAAAAAAAAAAAAAAAAAAAAAATATATATATATATATATATATATATATATATATATATATAAAATCTCTTTTCTGAAAGAAGCATTTAAATGTTGAAAACACATTATCTGCTTATTCTAGAACCCAAAATGGGCATTTTTTTTGTTTTTGTTTTGAGACAGAGTCTCACTCTGTTGCCCAGGCTGGAGTGCAGTGGCACAGTCTCGGCTCACTGCAACCTCCACCTCCTGGGTTCAAGCAATTCTCCTGCCTCAGCCTCCCAAGTAGCTGGGACTACAGGCGAGCGCCACCATACCCGGCTAATTTTTGTATTTTTAGTAGAGATGGGGGTTTCACTATCTTGGCCAGGCTGGTCTCGAACTCCTGACCTCGTGATCCACCAGCCTCAGCCTCCCAAAGTGCTGGGATTACAGGTGTGAGCCACCGTGCCTGGCCCAAAATGGGCATATTTTTAGAACCTAGACTATTGAGCTTGTCACTTTTTCTTACAATGTGCCACATTCTGCACCAATGATGCAGGAAATTAACAGCTAGATGTTCTTAGTTCTCCCTCTCCGTGGCGGTTCTGAAGATAGGCGGTGAAAGTGGACTGTTCCTCAGAAGCAAAAACTCTCCAGTGTTTCTGATCCATTAGTTCCGTAGCAATGTATGAGTTTTCATAACTATGGTTATGTATTTTGGTAAGCTGCTATCTTCATGCAACAGTCAATTTCACTGAACTTCATTTCCTCTAAGTATGTTAGATTACATATTTCACAATGTATTATTTGAAACAAACCAATCTCATTGAAAAACCCAGTTGAGAAGCTTCATGAATAATTTAACTGCTTGCTTTTCCTCTCAGATTTCACACATTTTGCCACGTCATTATTTAAGGAAACTTTCTCATATTGTAATACTTCCTCTTTTCTATTCAAAGAAATTGTAAACATATCAGCAAAAAGGGAACCACAGTTTTATCTGGAACACTAATATATTTAGAGTGAACAACACTGCCACCCTAAGATTTCCCAGTAACCTAGATGCATTTTGCTGTACTCAAGCAGGCTGATATGATTGCAGTTTGGGGAAAAATTTATATTATATAGAGTGTGGTTTCTTTTGGAGTGGTTTGCTAGTTTCTCCAATGCTGTTTGTCATATATGTAAAAGTAAAAACAGTTGGTATTGTGTAGCAGTATAGAATACTACCTATGTTCTCTCTCTATATATATGCCCCAGAGAACCATTTGTTTCCATTCAGAGTGATAAGGTTATACAAGACCTACTTGGCCATGCAAGACAAGTTCTTTTCTTCATTTCTGTCTACAAATTCAGATCATTTCTCCATAGTTCAAGATAGCTATCTATCCTTCAAAGAATGGTACAGGCCAGGCATGGTGGCTCACACCTGTAATCCCAGCACTTTGGGAGGCTGAGGCCGGTGGATCCCTTGAGCCCAGGAGTTCGCGAGCAGCCTGGGCAACATGGCAAAACTCTAGAAAAATATAAAAATTAGCTGGGCATGGTGGTGCTCACCTGCAGTCCCAGCTACTTGGGAGTCTGAGGTGGGAGGATCACCTGAGCCTGGACTGGTTGAGATCACGCCACTGCACTCCAGCCTGGGTGGAGACCCTGTCTCAAACAAACAAACAAAAAACAAAAAACAACACAAAGAATGGTAGAGAGAGCTGTAAAAGTAAAGAATCTATGAAGGTCTTTTGAGCTCAAAAATGTTTCTATTTCAATTATCATTTAAAACATGTTCACTATGAAGGTGGGCTTCCTGACTTGATTCACTCATTGAAATTCATAGTAGGGTCAGTTGATGACCAAGAAACTTAGCTATTTCAAAATCATGGGGTATAAGTCTTAACATCAAATAATGCATATGTAACTCAAACTTCTCATCTTTAGCATCATCAGTTCAAAAATTATATACGTTACTCCACTAATTAGGCATAACACTTCATTAGAAGTTATATATGCATTCAAAGCCACCTCCAGCTGCACCAGCCTATAATGAGCTGTTTATTTGTTCATGTGACAATCTTATATTGCTACCTATTATTTCATGTGCACGTAGATACTCGATAAAGTCTTTTAAAATGAATGAATGCAAATCTTCTGCCTCCCACAGTGCCTGTTCTTAAATCCTAAGCCCCATTATTGCTACTCCCTGCCACCTCCATTCCATAAACTGCAGGGCCATTGTTCTATAAGCTGCTTGAGTTTAAGAGTGTTGCTTTCACAGCTCTCTTCATACGTACAGGAAGGCTCTGCTTCTCCTTCCCAAGACACTCAGGGAATCTTTCCAGGATGCTTCCCATTCACTCTACTGAATTCACCTACTCCCTCTTGCTACCTCTGCTTATAGTATTTTGCTTCAGACCCAATTGTCACCCACTGGTCCCTGAGATAGGCAAAAGATGCTTTAGACTATTTTCTTGGGTGCTGCCCTCGGGCTCCACATCCTGCAGCCTGCCTCATTCCCATTCTGGAAGGGAGTTCAGATAGCTTGAACTTAGTAGTAAGGGTGATCTGACTCCTGTGATCATTGACTTCAGTGTTCACCAGGCTGCTTAGCAAAGGGCCCTCTTCATCACTCCCTTCATCATTCAGTTAAGGGAAAAGATCTCAAGAACGCAGAGGCATAGAGAGGCACCTCAATGGCACTGTGCTTTGCAGACATATGAGTTGTCATGGCAGACGGTGGTGGTGACGATCACTGCTGCCTGTATCTTTATAACCTTAGAGAAATCTGAACTTCTCTTTAAGGAAATCCATGTGTAATTTCCTTCTCTGGTTGCTTCATAGGGCAGTCAAGGCGGCAGGAAGCCACAAAGCCCTGGCTAACAAATTAAAGCAATGTTTATATGCTAGGCTTGGTCTTTCCTAATGAAGGAGAGGCTGCTGACTAGTGGGGCTCAGGTCAGACTTCCTGTCACCAGCTGGGCTTGCACACGTAGGGAACACTGACGAATGGCTTGGGCTTTGTGCCCCATCAGCACTGGGCCCTCATGGCCCAGTCACAGGAATATGGCTAGCAAGGCAGCACGACTGCTTTACACCAGAGTTCAGGGAAAGGCATCACATCCCTCAAGCCACCCAAGCAAGAAGTCTGGTGGTCGTCCTAGCCTCTTGCTCTGCCTCATACCTCACAGACGATTTGTTTACCACGTCATAAAGATTTTACTTCTTAAATACCTCTCAAATCCATCCCCTTTCCTCTCAATGGCTCTGGCCACTGACTTAATTCAGGTCCTCATCATTGATCATCAGAGTTACTAAAATGAGAAGCAAGTGGCTTCCGTGGGGCTGGCCTCTTCACCTCTAAGCTGATGTTTTCTGCAAGAGTGATCTTTCTAAATTACTAACATCAGATTTCATCACCTCTCTGACCCCCTTCTGCCAGCTTGAAACCTTTCTTTTTTTTTTTTTTGAGACGGAGTCTCGCTCTGTCACCCAGGCTGCAGTACAGTGGCACGATCTCAGCTCACTGCAAGCTCCACCTCCCAGGTTCACGCCATTCTCCTGCCTCAGCCTCCCGAGTAGTTGGGACTACAGGCACCCGCCACCACGCCCGGCTAATTTTTTTTTGTATTTTTAGTAGATAACCGGGATGGTCTTGATCTCCTGACCTTGTGATCCGCCCATCTGGGCCTCCCAAAGTGCTGGGATTACAGGTGTGAGCCACCATGCCCGGCCTTGAAACCTTTCAACGATTCCTCGCTGCCTTTAGGCTGAAGTCCAAACACCTTAGCAGGCAAACCGGCTCCTGTCTCTTGCCACCTTTCTCCATGCCCCTCATTCCAGCTATATTCATCTAATGTCCATTTCCGATCATGTCACACTCCTTCTGCCTTTAGTGCTTTTCCATGCTATTCCCTCATCCGGAAGTGGCCATCCTTCACTAACTAGCTCACCCCTGCCACTGCTTCTGCATTCATTTATTCATGACACGTTTACTAAAGGTGACTGTGTGCCAGCCACTAATCTAGGTGCTGGGCATCAGTGAATCAAACAGACAAAACTGGCCATGTGCAGCGGCTCATGCCTGTAATCCTAGTACTTTGGGAGGCTGAGGCAGGAGGATCACTTGAGGCTAGGAACTGGAGACCAGCCTAGGTAACAGAGTGAAACTCTGATTTTACAGAACATAATAAAAAGAAAAATAAAAAACAGGCAAACTTCCTGACTTGTAGAGCTTCCCTTCCAGTGGTGGTGATGGTGGTGGGAGGGGAGGAACAATGAAGCGAACAAACAAGTAAATTCTACGCTAGATGACAAGACAAGTGCTATGGAGAATAATCCGGCAGGGAAGAAGGCTGGCAGTGCCAGAGCAGGTGCGGGGGTTATTGCGATTTTAAATGGAGTTGTGTATAATAGGAAAAACCAACTGCTTTCTCTTCTACAGTCATACTTGTCAGAGAATACTTCCTCTCCGGTTGCTAAAATGTGTGTGGAGTTTTCCCCACACCGACCAATTCTCCAACACCAGCTGGGTGATCTACAATTTAACTCAATCCTGACACTATGTACCTGGAGTTAGAGTCAGATTGCACAGCTTAAGGACTTAGTCCCACAAGACTGCCCCTACTTTAGATGCCAGTCACAAGCCCCAGGCTGTGACCCGTGTTCCTGACTGACAGGCTGTACACTGGAGTTCCCATGGTGCCCTCCTTGGATTTGATAATTTGCTAGGATGGATCACAGAACTCAGAAAACCACTTTATTTATGTTCACCTGTTTATTAGGAAGGATATTACAAAGGATACAGATGGACAGCCAGATGGGAGAGATGCATTGGGCCAGGTATGGGGGAGGGGGCAGGTGGCTTCCACGCCCCCTCCAGGGTGCATCGCCCTTCCAGCACCTCCGCGTGTTCAGCAGCCCGGAAGCTCTCCAAACCCCACAGTTCAGGGATTTTCATGGAGGCTTCATCACATAGGCACCACCAATTACTAACTCAGGTTTCCGCCCCTCTCCCCTTCATGGAGGATGGGGAGCTGAGCTGAAAGTTCCAAGTTTCTAATCATGGCTTGGTCTTTCTGGTGACCAGCCCTATCCAGGAGCCCACCAAGAGGTGCCCCATGAGAAAAAAAGACGCTACTATTACCCAGGAAATTCCAAGTGATCAGGATCTCTGTGTCAGGAACCAAGATCAAAGACCAAATATCAGAACAAAAGATTCTCCTAACGCCCCTATTACTCAGGAAATTAAAGGGTTTTAGGAACTCTATGCCAAAGGACTGGAGACAAATATTGCTATGGTTTGAATGTTTGTCTCTTCAGAAACTCATGTTGAAACTTAATCCCTGGCTGGGCCCAGTGGCCCATGCCTATAATCCCAGCAATTTGGGAGGCCAAGGCAGGTGGATCACTTGAGGTCAGGAGTTCAAGACCAGCCTGGCCAGCATGGTGAGACCTCATCTCTACTAAAAATACAAAAATTATCCGGGCATGGTGGCATATGCCTGTAATCCCAGCTACTCAGGAAGCTGAGGCATGAGAATCACTTGCACCCAGGAGGTGGAGGTTGCAGTGAGCTGAGATCGCGGCACTGCACTCCAGCCTGTGCAACAGAGTGAGTGAGACTCTGTCTCAAAAAAAAATTTAATAAAAAATAAATTAGAAAATAAAAACTTAATCCCCAATGTGGCAGTACTGCAAGATGGGGGAACTTTATGGGGTGATTGGGTCGTGGGGCTCTGCCCTCATGAATGGATTAGTCTGCTCATGGATTAATCCATGGGTTAACAGATTAATGGTTTATTATGGGAATCAGACTGATGACTCTACAAGAAGAGCAAGACAGGCCGGGCACGGTGGTTCACGCCTGTAATCCCAGCACTTTGGGAGGCCCAGGTGGGCAGATCACGAGGTCAGAAGGTGGAGACCATCCTGGCTAACCCCGTCTCTACTAAAACTATAAAACATTAGCTGGGCATGGTGGCGGGCGCCTGTAGTCCCAGCTACTCGGGAGTCTGAGGCAGGAGAATGGCGTGAACCCGGGAGGCGGAGCTTGCAGTGAGCCGAGATAGCGCCACTGCACTCCAGCCTGGGTGACAGAGAGAGACTCTGTCTCAAAAAAAAAAAAAAAAAGAAGAGCAAGACAGACCTGAGCTAGCACGCTCGGCCCATTTGCCATGTGATTTCCTGCGCTGCTCAAGATTCTGCAGAGTTGGCAGGGCATGGTGGCTCACGCCTGTAATCCCAGTACTTTGGAAGGCTGAGGCAGGCCGATCGCCTAAGGTCAGGAGTTCAAGACCAGCCTGGCCAACACGGCAAAACCCTGTCTCTACTAAAAATACAAAAATTAGCCAGGTGTGGTCGTGTGTGCCTGTAGCCCCAGCTACTCAGGAGGCTGATGCAGGAGAATCGCTTGAACCCGGGAGGTGGAGGGTGCAATGAGCTGAGATCGTTCCACCGTACGACCATACGAGCTGAGATCGTGCCACCAGCCTGGGTGACAGTGCAAAAAACGAAGAAAGAAAAAGAAAAAAAATTCTGCAGAGTCCCCACAGCAAGAAGGCCCTCACCAGGAGCAGCCTCTCAACCTTGGACTTCTCAGCCTCCATAACTGTAAAAAATAAATTCCTTTTTGTTTATATACCTTGTTTCAGGTATTCTGTTATAAGCAAGAGAAAACTAACCCAGAAAATTAAAAATATATATATATTTTATATATATATCTTTTTATAAATCACAATATCACAGGTAGTCAGGGAGGCCTCAGTGAGAGGGGACATTTGAGCAAAGACTTGAAGAAAGTGAAGGAGCAAGTCATGTGAGTATTTGGAGGAAAATATTAAGAGAAAAGTTAAGAATAAGGGCAAAGAGCCTGGGGCAGAGGCATACTTCAACTGTGAAGGAAGTAGAAAAAGGCCAGATGGCCTGAGGACAGTGAGCAAGTGAGAGAATAAAAGTCAAAGTGAGGTCGGGCGCGGTGGCTCACACCTATAATCTCAGCACATTGGGAGGCCAAGGCAGGCGCATCACTTGAGGTCAGGAGTTTGAGACCAACAAGGCCAACATGTTGAAACCCCATCTCTACTAAATATTAGCTGGACATGGTGGCAGGTACCTGTAATCCCAGCTACTTGGGAGGCTGAGGCAGGAGAATTACTTGAACCTCAGAGGTGGAGGTTGCAGTAGGCCAAGATTGCGCCATTGCACTCCAGCCTGGGCGACAGAGCAAGACTCCATCCCCCCACCAAAAAAAATTCAAAGTGAGACGGCACAGTGAGTCACACCTGTAATCCCAGCACTTTGGGAGGCTGAGGCAGGAGGATCACTTGTGTCCAGGAGTTCAAGACCAGCCTGGGCAACATAGCATGAACCTGTCTCTACAATTCTTTTTTCTAATCAGCTAGGTATGGGGGCACATTCTTGTAGTACTAGCTACCCAAGAGGCTAAGGTGAGAGATCGCTTGACCCTGGGAGTTCAAGTTTACAGTGAGCTATGATCACATCACTGCACTCTAGCCTGGGCAAAGAGCAAGACCCTATTTTTAAAGGAAAAAAAAGTCAAAATGAGAAAGTTGTGGGGAGGTCCTGTGAGCCACTGCAAGGTTTTACTCTAAGTGAGATAGTGAGATGAGGAGTTATTGGAGGGTTTGAACAGAGGAGTTACATATTAAATAAATCATATTAAATGTTACTTTTTTTGTTGTTTTTATTTTTTGAGACAGAGTTTCACTCTTGTCGCCCAGGCTGGAGTGCAATGGCGCAATCTTGGCTCACCACAACCTCCGCCTCCCAGGTTCAAGGAATTCTCCTGCCTCAGCCTCCCCAGCAGCTGGGATTACAGGCATGCGCCACCATGCCTGGCTAATTTTGTATTTTTAGTAGAGACGGGGTTTCTCCATGTTGGTCAGGCTGGTCTCGAACTCCCGACCTCAGGTGATCCGCCTGCCTCGGCCTCCCAAAGTGCTGGGATTACAGGTGTGAGCCACCACACCCAGCCTAAACGTTACATATTAAAAGGATTATATATTAAAAAGCCACTGGATTGAGAATAGATTGTAAGAAGACAAGGGTAGAGGCAAGGACAGCTGTTAGAAGACTGTTGCAAAACCCCAAGCTAGAAATGCTGGTGGCCTGGACAAGGGTGGGAGCAGTAGAGGTGGCAAGACATAGTTGAATTCTGGATATAGCTTAAAGGTCAGATAGGATCTCCTAATGGCATGAATGGGGGATAAAAGAGAAAAAGGGGTGACAAGGATGATGTCAAGGTTTTGGGTCTGAGAAACTCTAAGGATGAAGTTGCCACTAGCTGAGATAGGGGAAGACTTGCAGGGGCAGGTTTCAGGGGAAGATCAGGAGTTTTGACCTGGCCTTGTGTATTAATCCATTCTTGCATTGCTATAAAGAACCACCTGAGACTGGGTAATTTATAAAGAAAAGAGATTTAATCAACTCACGGTTCTGTGGGCTTTACATGCTTCTGCTTCTGGGGAGGCCTCAGGAAACTTAGAATCATGGCAGAAGGCAAAGGGGAAGCAAGCACATCTTCACATGGCTGGCAGGAGAGAGAGAGCAAAGGGGGAAATGCTATACACTTTTAAACAATCAAGTATCATGAGAACTCACTCATCATGAGAACAGCAAAGGAGAAGTCTGCCCCCATGATCCAATTACCTTCCCACCAGGACCCTCCTCCAACATTGAAGATTACAATTTGACATGAAATTTGGGTGGGGACACAGAGCCAAACCATATCATTCCACTCCTGGCCCATCCCAAATATCATGTCCTCACATTTCAAAACACAATTATGCTTTCCAAACAGTCTCCCAAAGTCTTAACTCATTTCAGCATTAACTCAAAAGTCCAAGTCCAAAGTTTCATCTGAGATAAGGCAGTCCCTTCTGCCTATGAGCCTGTAAAATCAAAAGCAAGTTAGTTACATCTAGGATACAATAAGGGTACAGGCATTGGGTAAATGTTCCTGTTCCAAAAGGGAGACATTGGCCAAAACAAAGGGGTTACAGGCCCCATGCAAGTCCGAAACCCAGCAGGGCAGTCATTAAATCTTAGAGCTCCAAAATAATATCCTTTGATTCCATGTCTAACATCCAGGCCACACTGATGCAAGGGGTAGGCTCCCAAGGTCTTGGACAGCTCTGCTTCTGGCGGCTCTGCAGGGCTTAGTGCCCCATGGCCGCTCTCACAGGCTGGTGTTGAGTGCCTGTGGCTTTTCCAAGCACACAGTGCAAACTGTTGATGGAGCTACCATTCTGGGGTGTGGAGGACAGTGGCCCTCTTCTCACAGCTCCACTTGGCAGTGCCCCAGTGGAGACTCTTTGTGGGGACTTCAACCCCATATTTCCCCTCCACAGTACCCTAGTAGAGGTTCTCCACAAGGGCTCCGCCCCTGAAGCAAATTTCTGCCTGGATATCCAGTTGTTTCCATACATCCTCAGAAATCTGAAAGAATGGAGGCTCCCAAGCCTCAACTCTTGCCCTCTGAGCACCTGCAGGCTTAACACCATCTGGAAGCCTCCAAGGCTTGTGTCTTATACCCTCTGGAGCAGCAACCTGAAACATATCTGGAGTCCTTTTAGCCATGGCTGGAGCTGGAGCAGCTAAAGCACAGGGAACAGGGTCCCAAGGCTGCACAGAATAGCAGGGCCCTAAGCCTGACCCACAAAACTGTTTTTCCCTCCTAGGCCTCCAGGCCTGTGATGAGAGGGGCTGCCACGAAAGTCTCTGAAATGTCTTGGGGGCATTTTTCCCATTGTCTTGGCTGTTAACATACGGCTCCTCTTTACTTACACAAATTTTTGCAGCTAGGTTGAATTCCTCCCCAGAAAATGGTTTTTTCTTTTCTAATACATGGCTAGGCTGCACATTTCCAAACTTTAATACTCCATTTCCCTTTTAAATGTAAGTTCCAGTTTCAGATAATCTCTTTCCTCAGAAATATGAGCATACACTGTTAGAAGGAGCCAGGCCATATCTTGAATGCTTTGCTACTTAGAAATATTTTCTGCCAGATACCCTAAATCATCTCTCTCAAGTTCAAAGTTCAACAGATCCCTATAGCAGGGGCACAATGCCACTAGTCTCTTTGCTAAAGCATAGCAAGAGTGACCTTTACTGTAGCTCCCAATAAGGTCCTCATCTCCATCTGAGAACTCCTCAGCCTGGACTTCATTGTCCATATCACCATCAGCATTTTGGTTACAACCATTCAACAAGTCTCTAGGAAGTTCCAAACTTTTCCTTATCTTCCTGTCTTCTTCTGAGCCCTCCAAACTCTTCCAACTTCTGCCTGTTACCCAGTTCCAAAGTCACTTCCACATTTTCAGGTATCTTTATAGCAATGTCCCAACTCTCTGGTACCACTTTTCTGTATTAGTTCATTCTCACATTGTTATAAAGAACTACCTGAGTCTGGATAATCTGTAAGGAAAAGAGATTTAGTCAGCTCAGGGTTCTGTGGGCTGTACAGGCTTCTGCTTCTGGGGAGGACTCAGGAAACTTACAATCATGGTGGAAAGCAAAGGGGAAGTAAGCACATCTTCACATAGCTGGTGGAAGAGAGAGAGCATAGGGGGAAGTGCTACACATTCTTAAACAACCAGATCTCGTGAGAACTTACTATCACGAGAACAGCAAGGGAGAAGTCCACCCCCATGATCCAATCACCTCCCACTAGGCCCCTCCTCCAACATTGGGGATTACAATTCAACATGAGATGTGGGTGGGAACGCAGAGCCAAACCACAGGCCTTGTAAAGTTAGAGATACTTAAAGAGTCAACTTGAGTATCTTCTCCTAAAATCCTTTCCAGTATTGCTATCATAGCACTTAGTATAGAGAGCAGCTCTTTTAACACAGGTGTTTTTGAGTTTTAAATTACGCATTAATTCAAAGTAAACTAGTGTTAAGAACAAATCAGTAACTTCTGTTCCGACAGTGAAAGAGTGATTGAGACAGATGTTCCCCTTCTGGCATAGACAACTAGAAAACTGACAAAATATACGAAACAACTGTATTCAAATATTAGGACTGTAGGTAGTGTAAAGTGTGATCTCGGAGAGGAGGGAAACAGAGGTGAGCCCTACAATCACTCCAGTTCTTTGTCTGCAGGCAATTTTCGAGTTGTTGTGTAAGGAATCCAAACAGAGCCCAAGAGATCTTGCTGAGTTGAGGAAAGACTGGAGGTGGGGATGGCTACGGCAGTTTGCAATTTGTGAGGCAGAGTATTGAAGAGGAAGAAGCTATGTAAAGAGAGCTCCAGAAATCTGCATACGAGTCCCCTTGAGACTTGGCATGAATACTAATCTGGCATGTATAAGGTGAAACTCACCAAGCCTGGCAAGGAACAATTAATTGACGGGAATCTATAAGCTAAACAATTCCCAAAGCTGACACAGGGCTGGTAAATGTGAGTTCCTAACAGGCAGAGTGGAGAGCCCTTGTTGAAGACTTAGGGTGAGGAGTAAAGACCCTTAGTAGAACGGCTAAAAACAAAGTGTTTTGTTTGTTTGTTTGTTTTTGTGTTTTGAGACGAAGTCTCGCTCTGTCGCCCAGGCTGGAGTGCAATGGTGCAAACTTGGCTCACTGCAACCTCCACCTCCCGAGTTCAAGCGATTCTCCTGCCTCAGCCTCCCGAGTAGCTGGGATTACAGGCATGCGCTGTAGGGTCCAGCCCTATTGGGTCTGTGGGTTTTTCTCCTTGTGTGCAGAGACGAGAGATCGTAGAAATAAAGACACAAGACAAGGAGATAGAAGAAAAGACAGCTGGGCCCAGGGGACTACTACCACCTAAATGCGGAGATGGGTAGTGGCCCCGAATGCATGGCTGCGCTGTTATTTATTGGCTACAAGACAAGTTGGCAGGGTAAGGAGTGTGAGCCATCTCCAATGATAGGTAAGGTCACACGAGTCACCTGTCCACCGGAGAGGGGGCCCTTCCATTTGGTAGCCCAGGCAGAGAGAGAGGGCAGCTTACATCATTATTTCTTCTGTGCATTTCAAAGACTTTAGTCTTCACTGATTCTGCTACTGCTATCTAGAAGGCGGAGCCAGTTGTACAGGGCGGAACATGAAAGCGGGCCAGGAGTGTGACCGCTGAAGCACAGCATCACAGGGAGACGGTCAGGCCTCCGGATAGCTGTGGGTGGGCCTGACTGATGTCAGGCCTTCCACAAGAGGTGGTGGAGCAGAGTCTTGTCTAAATTCCCCAGGGAAAGGGAGACTCCCTTTCCTGGTCTGCTAAGTAACGGGAGCCTTCCCCAGGCACTGACGCTACCGCTAGACCAGGGAGCCCTCTAGTGGCCCTGTCTGGGCATGACAGAGGGCTCACACTCTTGCCTTCTGGTCGCTTCTCACTGTGTCCCTTCAGCTCCTATCTCTGTTTGGCCTGGTTTTTCCTAGGTTATACTGTAAAACAAAGATTATTATAATATTGGAATAAAGAGTAATGCTAGAAACTAATGATTAATGATATTTATATATAATCATATCTGTAATCTATTTCTAGTATAACTATTCTTATTCTATACATTTTCTTTATTATACTGCAACAGCTTGTGCCCTTGGTCTCTTGCCTTGGCACCTGGGTGGCTTCCCGCCCACAGTGCACCACCACACCCGGCTAATTTTTTGTATTTTTAGTACAGACGGGGTTTCACCATCTTGAACTTCATCAGGAGTTCAAGGCCAGGCTGGTCTTGAACTCCTGATCTCAGGTGATCCATCCACCGGGGCCTCCCAAAGTGCTGGGATTGCCTCAGCTCCTTCCCTCCCCCGGCTCAGACAACTTGCCCCTGAGGGCAGGGGCCTGCTGGTTTATTTAAAATGGATGGAGCCCAACAAGTGCAGAGAAGCGCAACCATGCAGGGAGAAAGCACTGTAGCAGGTCGGTGCTCCGCCTCCTCTTGCCACTGACTGCCGACTGAAGGCCACTGGCCTGTGCCTACTAACCAGGCCTCCTAGGTCACCTGGTTACCAGAAACCAATCACTCCTAGAGTTCCTGTCCCAGGCACTTGGCTCACAATGCCCTGTGGCTACCCAAACCGGTGGCTGTCCCCTCCCACAGCAACCCCCCAAGTGGTTGCCCTGCCCCACCATAATTCTGATTTTCCTTCCTTTCTGGCTGCTGGGAGCTTTTAAGTTTCTGCGTTGTTATGAAGTCTCTCTGGATCATCACCTTACAATGGATTATGCTTAAATTACTACTGTAATCAAATCTAAGTCTTGTGCACTACTGGGAATCCAAAAAGCCTCCTCTCCCCAGTGGCCTCTGAGTTTTTTTTGAGATGAAGTCTCATTCTGTCGCCCAGGCTGGAGTAAATGGCGTGATCTCGGCTCGCTGCAACCTCCACCTCCCGGGTTCAAGCAGTTCTCTGCCTCAGCCTCCCAAGTAGCTGGGATTACAGACACCTGCCACCACGCCCAGCTAATTTTTGTATTTTTAGTAGAGACAGGGTTTCACCATGTTGGCCAGGCTGGTCTTGAACTCCTGACCTTGAGTTCTACCCACCTTGGCCTCCCAAAGTGCTGGGATTGCAGGCGTGAGCCACTGAGCCCGGCAGCCTCTGGGTTTTTTAGAAACGCAAAAGAACACCGATTTCTGCAGGTGCTTTCAGAAAAAAAATTTGTCATGAGTCAAGTCTACTCTGTGATGTCAACTTATATTTTTAATGTGTATATATATATATATATATACTATATAAATTCTTACATATTTCTGAAAATATCACACACATTAAATCAAACAGAAGAGTAATAGGAAATTTCCTAAAATGTGTACACTAAGAACATATATATATATATATATTTTGAGACGGAGTTTCACTCTTGTTGCCCAGGCTGGAGTGCAATGGGGCAATCTCGGCTCAACGCAACCTCCACCTCCCAGGTTCAAGAGATTCTCCTGCCTCAGCCTCCCGAGTAGCTGGGATTACAGGCATGCGCCACCACACCAGGCTAATTTTGTATTTTTAGTAGAGACAGGGTTTCTCCATGTCAGTCAGGCTGGTCTCGAACTCCCGACCTCAGGTGATCTGCCCGCCTCAACCTCCCAAAGTGTTGGGATTACAGGCATGAGCCACCGTGCCCGGCCGAACGTCACATATTTCTAATGATTGCTTTGATAGAGCAACTTAGAATCTATGGTTCCAACAAATAAGGAGGCTTATGTAAAGTAAAACCACTACATAATGTGAGATTATACATGTGATTATCATTGCTACTTGCGACCAGCAATTATCATGTGAATGTGTACCGTGAGTTGCTATGTGGCTATGGTGATTTCATCTTTCTGATCCTTGATTTAACTATAAAAAAATGATTACCACAGACTTTGTTTGCTCTAAAAATTAAATGAGAGAAGGATGATACTCTTCTATGTATTAAACACAAAATTACAGGCATTTTGCCCAGATTCGTACACAATTATCTTGTTTAAGCCTCATAACAACTTGAAAAAGGCATCTTTTATAGATGAGAAAAGCGAAGATCAGAGGGGTTAAAAACATATCCACAATCACATAATGATGAATGATGGAATTGGGATTCAAATCCAGGTCTGATGGACTCCACAGCTGGTGCATCTTAAGAACCAAATTATATCCCACCCATGTAGGCACTCAATAGATGTGAATTCCCTTTTATTACCCTATTATGTGTGAATGTCAGTGCCTTTCATGGCCTCAGTATAACCGTTCACTCCCTCCCAGGTTGCCTGTCAGTGGTTTCCTTCTTCCTGGAGATAATCAAGAATTATTAATTATTTTAAGTATTTTTAAGTATTAAGTATTTTTTCATAAGCAGATGTGCTGATAATGTAAGGCTTGGGTAATGAAATTTTCCAGGCCATCCATTGCTAACTTATTAATTGCCTAGCTTATTTGGAATAAAAAACAAACAAACAAACAAAAAAAAACAAACAAAAAACAACAACAAAAAACCTATTACATGTTAAAAAGAACCCACAGAGCTTGTGAGGAAAGAGTCTGAACTATGCTGCAGGAGCACCTTACTATCAGTTATTCGGGAAGACCAGCCCAAAGACACAAAGCAAGAGTACTTCTAACATGCATTGGAATATCAGATCTCTGGTCTAGGATTCAAAATACTGGGTTATGAGTCCCTCCAGAGCTAAGATACAGTAGACTAACACCTGTTTTTGGCTCTGGGGAGAAAAAACAAGAGAGGCAAAGATCAAAAGTACTAGAAGAGTTCTAGAGATTTGTGGACTACCATGTACATATAGTTAGCTATATCGTATCATACATCTAAAATTTTCCTAAGGGAGTAAATTTCATATCATGTGGCTTTTTTAACCACAATTAAAATAAAAAACATAGATATGATACTATAAAAGAGAGTGGGCATAATGGAAGAGTAATACTCAGGTGAGAGGGAGAGAAGGAGAAGCCTTGCTTCCCAGGATAAAGGGAAAAGGGAAAATCAATGCAGATATGGAATAGCAGGTACATGAGGACTCTGAGGTAGAAATAAGCTTGGTAAGTTGACATTGTCTAGCCCAGATCTTTCCAGAAAAGCAGCACATCTAGTCCCAGGCATTTCACTCCTCTCACCACCTCTCCTGCTGACCCACCGCCACAGTGGCCTTATTGACTTTTCGGGAACATGGCCAGCTTTCCCTTGCTTTTGGTTCCTTTCAACCTTGTCACTTCCTGTGATTGGAAGGTCTTTGTATGGCTGACTCCTTTCATCTTTCTTCTCCATTATTACTTCCTCAGAGAGTTCTTCCCTTCCGAGCCTCATGGAGACCCACTCACTGTACCATTATTCATTTTTATTTACTTCATTCCATTTATTATTTGAAAATATCTTAATTAGTTGTTTTTGCATTTACGATTAGTCTCCTTTAACCACATTGTGAGTTCCATAGGCTAAGGATCCTTACATATATTGTCATTCACCATATAAACCAATTCTTAAGACAGATTTTATGACAGTGTAGGCATTCCATGAATACGTACTGCATTCATAAATAAATAAATGAGTGATATGCTGTTGGCAAAATGAATATAAGCAGAAATTGTAACTTCGGAACACTGATATCCACCAATATTTATTGTGAATTTATTGGATAGTGTATTTTCCATATATTTATGTGTCATGACCTACATTTAACTCCAAAGGAAATATGCAATCTATATAAATCCATTTTTCTGCCTTCTAGAAGCTTAGTCTACGGAGGAAACATATGAACGCAGACCATTAAAATACAATGTGATGAAGATTTTAACAATTACAATGCACTGAAGTTTTGGACTGAGGGCTGTGGGAGCAATAATACAGTGCTTCGAACTTAAGTAAAATGAAACAAGAACAGTTTTACTAACATGCTGAGAACATGAAAGTTCAGAGTTTGGCATGCAAATGCTGAGGGCTGAGGAGTAATCATGAGGCAGAGGAGCTAGGAAGCATATACAACCCTCCCAAGATTTTCATTGACAGTAAGGAGTAAGCTAAGGTGTAAACTGAGCAGGAGACAGTATCAAGAAAATGATTTAAATTATGTCTCTGAGGGAATTAAGCCAAGTGAAAGAAAAATCGAAGACAACTAAAACAAAAGGGAATCTTTAAAGAGGCTAAGTCTCAAAAGAGGTAAAAGAGAAGAGAACAACTTATTCTATTAGGCGAAGAGAACAACTTATTCTATTAGGCGAAGAGAATAACTTATTCTATTAGGCAGGAGGGAAGGAGGAAACGACCATCTCTGAAGGGAAATCTCAAGGTTAAGAGAGAGAGGCTTCCCAAGCATAAGATGAACAGTTTCTGTTTTCCCATGAAGAATGAGATAGACCATCTGCTGATACTGGCTGGTGAGGGAGACGCTGAGGGAGAGGCAGGGACAAGAACTTTATTGGTTTATAATTGGTGTGCAATGTTGCTGCCCTAAGCTGCATCCTCACACATAAAAAACTTGTCCTTATGTCTCTCTTGAAATCTATGCAGAAACTAGATGTGGCACACTGTCCACATGGGGGACAGAACACAAGGTTACAGAAGCACCACAACAAGAATGAAATAGTCATTTCTACATTTGCAAAACAATTTTTTAATTAGCTAATTATTTAGCTCAATGATTGCTATATCCCTGTAGGTATATGTGCTCAAGGATCAGTTATTATTTCTTTAAATCCTTTTGAGGCATTCAAAGACATAAGACATTCTATTTCAGTGGGAATGTTGTAGTAGGCAACATTTGCTGTAAATAAACAACACATGACAAAAGGAGTAAATTACACTGGCCGGGCGCGGTGGCTCACACCTGTAATCCCAGCACTTTGGGAGGCCAAGGCGGGCAGATCACGAGGTGAGGAGATCGAGACCATCCTGGCTAACACGGTGAAACCCCGTCTCTACTAAAAATACAAAAAATTAGCCAGGCATGGTGGCGGGCACCTGTAGTCCCAGCTACTCGGGAGGCTGAGGCAGAAGAATGGCATGAACCCGGGAGGCAGAGCTTGCAGTGTGCTGAGATCGCGCCACTGCACTCCAGCCTGGGCGACAGAGCGAAACTCCGTCTCAAATAAATAAATAAATAAATAAATAACACTGAATTTATCCTGAAGAGAAAATGCAAAGCCAAATAAGAGACCCCCAAATCAGACTGAAAATTTATTTGCCTCTATAAAGTTCAGAAAACCAGAATGAGAAGCAGCTACTTTTTAAACTTTAGACATTATAAATTTACAATTCAACATGAGATTTGGGCAGGGACACATATCCAAACTACAACAATACTTACAAAGTCAACCTCAGATCAGTTACGCACATATTTTCTATCATTCCCAGTTCCCTGCCATTCGCAAAGTTTATGAGCATTTTTTATGTTCCCTCAAGCCCCAGATATAAATGTAAGAGCGTTGTGCCAGCTAACAAAAACTTTCATATGTGCCAAAATAAATCTACTCATCAGTGCCCACTGGTATTTTAATGGCTCAATAGAAATGTTTTGTACAAGGTTGTGAAGGCCTTTATGAAAGGATACATTTTTTGTTGTTGTTTTTGAGACAGAGTCGGTCTGTCGCCCAGGCTGGAGTGCAGTGGTGTGATCTTGGCTCACTGCAACCTCTGCCTCCTGGGTTCAAGCGATTCTCCTGCTTCAGCCTCCTGAGTAGCTGAGACTACGGGTGCCCGCCACCATACCTGGCTAATTTTTGTTGTTTTTAGTAGAGGCGGGGTTTTGCCATGTTGGCCAGGTTTCGAAAGCCTGACTTCGTGATCCACCCGCCTCAGCCTCCAAAAGTGCTGGAATTACAGGCATGAGCCACCACACCCGGCAAAAGGATAAAGTTTTTAAAAGTCTTTTAGGATAGCTTTGTTATCAGGTGTATAAGCTTAATAACACTCTCTTCCAGCATCTCTATTTGTCAGAGTTTTTATGACATTGGTGATTTCATTTTGATTCTAAAAACTTTCATACATCTCATTCTGTAGCAATTAGTTTGCGTTCAGCTACAAAGAAAAGACTTTTGTATAGTATCAGAACATATGAGGTGTACTCTTACGTACTTGGGCAGCAGAACTAATAGTGCAGTGACCTTATAGTGTGCCAGTTTCTTTCCATTTCCTGTCTCTGAAATGGTCTACACCTGGTCATTGTGCTCAAGCTCACTCCTTCAGAACCCAAGTCGGCTGATCCACCTCCAGGCAATTGAATCACATTCCAAACAGCAACAAGGAGAAAAATGTGAAGCTAATAGGACAGGGAATGTTATTAAAAACCAGTGTTTTTTAATTCAGAGAAGGCCAACCTGTTCAGGCACTTCTCTCTAAATCTCATGGAGCAGAACACTATCACTCGGCCACCAATGTAAGCAGAAACATTTCTCTGTAGCAGAACACAGGAGACATGATTGGGAGTGGCTGCTGCTACCTGTACTATCATGAGTTCTGACAAAAAGGCTATTTACATTGTGCACTGGAACAGGGTGTTATGAAAAAACCCTCAAATTCAGAATACATTCATCCCAGAGTCACAATAATTATGTAAGCAAATGGAATGCTTATTCTTTAGAGGTATAATTAAACAGCTGTCTAATCATTTGATTACTTATGACTTTGTAATGAAAATTATCAAACACAACAGTGAGAATGTAATATTCAATCCCATAATCAAACATAACCTGTTAATCTTTTGTAAGGTTTTACATTTTGATAAAATGTTCAATAAATTGTGGTGCTTTAATTTGCATGATGATGATGCAACACATAAAAGCAAGTGATTTACTTGAAAGGTGATCCCAGGAACAGAAGGAAGCAGTGAAGGAAGATGGGAAAGAGCAAGAAACCAATAAAGGCTGTGGAGTCGGTCAGACCTATTTTTGTTCATACATTTTTGGAGTTTTGAGTCCAGCTCTAAAGTTACCACATGTGTATGGCGTATTCCTAGTATGACTATGTTAACTCAGGATAAACTACGGCTCAGGTACTGCAGAGGCTGCTGCACGTAGAATGGACCAGAACCACCTGGAGGGCTGTAGGATAACGGGTTGCTGGGCCTCTCCTTCATGTTACTCACTCAGCAGTCTGGTCTGCTTTGTTGCAAATTTTCAGGTGTTTCCAAAGCTGCTTGTCGGGGAAATGACTTGAAGAACTTCTCTGGCTGCCCAGTATGATGATGTTCTCCAGTGAAGACAGTGGCCCGCGTGAGATGCAGTAAGATACAGTGATCGTGAATGCTTTTAAGTGGACTCTAGTCTTGTTTATCCAAGTGTGAGAAATGAGGTCATGTGTGTTGGACTTCTGTGGTTTCACCTTGGAAGCCTGACTACTGTTCAAAGTCTACAACAGTCAGGTACATATCCATTCCGGGTATACACGTGTAACCTAGGCTAGGATCTAAAGTCTTTACATGGCCTGGGCTGGAATCTGTCTCAGATCCTAGAGAGCTGCTCTGGGTGAACACACCTGGAGGAAACACTGAGATCCACAAGGGGAGATAACTCAAAAATAGAGTCCTTTGGTGGGTTGTTTTTGGAACTGTTCCTGTTGCTTTGGGGATGACATGGGGGAAGATGTGGAGAAGACGGTGGTGGTGACAACGGAGGTTTGAGGGGTACGGGACCACACCCAGACTTAGAATACAGCCCTCGTTTCTCCTGATTCCGTTTGTCATAGCCAGGAGAGCATCCTGGGTAATTTACCTAGTTAGAAGAATCTCACCCAGGGGACTGGGCTTTTGATTTTGCCATTTCAAGGAAAGACGTGCATCATACCACGGGCACTACAGATCCTTGAGACCTCCTTCAGCTCTCCTCTTCTTTCACAGCCTTGAAAATTATCTTTTAATTGATAGCCTCAGAAATGTTATTGAAATCTTTACTACCCATTCGCTAGGTGAAATTATCTAAATGAATTTCGCATTCCAAATCTAACCATATTTCTTAAATTATGAATATGGTTGAGAAATTTATTTTTAGGCAATCTTTTTGTTTCACATAATTTGCTCATAATTGTTAGTTTAGAGTATTCTTTAAAATGAATTATCCCCATTACTAAATAATTTGACTGTTTAATCTTTCTAAAAAAATTAAAATACGTCATTCTAAATAACTCGTTAAGTTTTACCTTATATTTATAGAAGCCTTCCCAATTACTCATATAAAAATCTTATGCTGGCCGGGTGCAGTGGCTCACGTCTGTAATCCCAGCACTTTGGGAGGCCGAGACAGGCGGATCACGAGGTCAGGAGATTGAGACCATCCTGGCTAACACGGTGAAACCCCGTCTCTACTAAAAAAAAAAAAAATACAAAAAATTAGCCAGGCGTGGTGGCGGGCGCCTGTAGTCCCAGCTACTCAGGAGGCTGAGGCAGGAGAATGGCGTGAACCTGGGACGCGGAGCTTGCAGTGTGCCAAGATCGCGCCACTGCACTCCAGCCTGGACGACAGCCTGGACTCTGTATTTAAAAAAAAAAAAAAAAAAAAAAAAAACTTATGCTGTGTTTGAATACATAATTTGTCAATCAGTTACATATTTTTAAACAGCCTTGAAAGACTGATTTTATTCTTATAAAATGATACATTTAGTCACTTTCTAGTTATAGACCTGTACTATTTGGCTGTTATATTATACCTAAAGCTGTTAATTTCCCTTTTTAAAGCAGTAATGAAATATGCAAACTATAAGATTTGCCCCCCTGCCACTTTTTTTTTTTTTTTTTGAGACAGACTCTTACTCTGTCGCTCAGACTGGAGTGCAGTGGCGCGATCTCAGTACACTGCAATTTCCACCTCCCAGGTTCTGGTGATTCTCATGCTTCATCCTCCCAAGCAGCCGAGATTACAGGCGTGCACCACCACACACTGCTGATTTTTGTATTTTTTGGTAGAGACAGGGTTTCACCATGTTGGCCAGGCTGGTTTTGAACTCCTGACCACAACTGATCCACCCGCCTCAGCCTCCCAATGTGCTGGGATTACAGGAGTGAGCCACCGCACCCGGCCGAGTTTACCCATTTTTGAGTGTACATTTTAGAGGCATTAAGTGCATTCACATGATGGGATACTCATCACAACTATCCTGAAACCTGAAACTATTATGAGAAAACATAAGGCAAAAGTACCATGACATTAGTCTGGGCAATAATTTTTTAGATTTAATGTAAAAATCCCAGGCAACACAAGCAAAAATGAATGAAACTTCTTTCAACTAAAAAGCTTCTGTACAGCACCAGCTACAATCAATGATATGATGAGACAACCACAGAATGAAAAAATATTCAAATTATATGTCGGATGGGTTAATATTGAAAATACATAAGAACTTAAACTATATGACAGAAAGATATTAAAAATGGGGAAAATATCTAAATATGTTTTTCAAAAGACCTACAAATGACCAACACATATATTTTTAAATGTTCATCAATAATCATCAAGGAAAGGCAAATCAGAACTGCTATGAGGTATCACCTCACTCTTGTTAGAACGACTATAATCAAAAAGACAGAGGATAAGTGTTGGCGAAAGTGTGGGGAAAGAAAAATGCTAGCACACTGTTGGTATGAATGTGAACCAATACAGCCACTGCCAAAAACAGTATGATGATTTCCGCAAAAAAATTCAAAATAGAACTACCATATGACACAGCAATTTTACTATTGGATATATATCCACAAAAATAAAATCAGTAGGTTGAGGAGACATCTTTATTTCCTAAATATTGAAAGAAATATTTCCCAAATTTTGAAATATATAATATTTGGGAATATTTGGGAAATAAATGTTTCTGTCTTTCTCATAAACTCAGTGGAAAAGACTCAAAAATAAAGTTTTCGTGATGTTTTTGTTCTATTAGTCCGTCATCAGTACAGGAACTCAGGTATTTACCAGTGTGCTCAGGGCCTAGCACAGAACATGGGAAGGACTGAAATATTTTAGAACTTTTACTTTAAGCTTGGGGGTACCTGGAGCTGCTGTTCCTGATGGTGATGGTATAGAAAACAGTAAAGAAGCAGACAGTGCTAATGGTCCCAATTTGGCTATTGTAGAAACACAGAAAACAATTTAGCACCCCAAAATCACTGAGGAAATTGTTTTAATCCAAAAGCTACCATGATCTCTGAGATGTCTTTAGAGTGAATGGCCAAGCGGTTGGCTAGCTAGGTGATTAAGAATGAAGACTATGGACTGCCAACTGCACCCAATGAAACATAGGAAGAGATTTAAAAAGTTCCCAAGATTGCAAAAATAAATCTAAATGAAAGATTATTTCAGGCCGGGGGCAGTGGCTAAAGCTTGTAATCTCAGCACTTTGAGAGGACGAGGTGGGCGGATCACGTGAGGTTGGGAGTTTGGGACCAGCCTGACCAACATGGAGAAACCCGGACTCTACTAAAAATACAAAATTAGCCAGGCGTGGTGGTGCATGACTGTACTCCCAGCTACTTGGGAGGCTGAGGCAGAAAAATCACTTGAACCTGGGAGGCGGAGGTTGCGGTGAGCCGAGATCGCGCCATTGCACTCCAGCCTGGGCAAAAAGAGTGAAACTTAGTCTCAAAAAAAAAAAAAAAAAAGATTATTTCAAATTTTAAATCCACAGAAGTCATTCTATTATTGTTCAACACAACACACACATTCAAAAATAGGTTCTGCATGGAAACATAAGGTGTGCTGTAAGTGTTTCATAGAAAATTAAATTCAAAATTATCCACTTATCATTAACTCTCCTTAAGAATTTCTAAGATACATTTGCTCTTCAGAGATTTCCAAATTCTGACATGTTTATTTACACACTGCTTACAATACATAGTCCAATATTATTAAAGCTTTACCTATTCTAATTAATTATACATTCACCACACTTTGTGTCAGGATTTTAAAATATTTTCTTTTAACAAACAAACAATGCTAACTGCCCGATTTAATTCTCTGGCCCATGGACAGTGCATCCCTCTCCTCCATTAAGAGTGTTGCTTGGCCAGGCGCGGTGGCTCGTGCCTGTAATCCCAGCACTTTGGGAGGCCGAGGCGGGCAGATTACGAAGTCAGGAGATCTCTATCTATTTATATCCTTTTAAACATCTCTCAAATAAGTTTGAAAATTTTCTCCGTACAACTCTTACATATTTTATGTCAGCTATAGACTTAAGTATTCCATATATTTGATGCAATTATCAATGGTGTCTTTTATTTTAAAAACAATTTTCTGGCCGGGCACGGTGGCTCACGCCTGTAATCCCAGCACTTTGGGAGGCCGAGGCAGGTGGATCATGAGGTCAGGAGATTGAGACCATCCTGGGGAACACGGTGAAACCCTGTCTCTACTGAAAATACAAAAAAATTAGCCGGGTGTGGTGGCGGGCGCCTGCAGTCTCAGCTACTTGGGAGGCTGAGGCAGAAGAATGGCATGAACCTGGGAGGCAGAGCTTGCAGTGAGCCGTGATCGCGCCACTACACTCCAGCCTGGGTGACAGAGCGAGACTCTGTCTCAAAAAAAAAAAAAAAGAATGTGTTGCTTGTAGCTGGGCCACATGGTGGCACATGCCTGTAATGCCAGCACTTTGGGAGGCTGAGGTAGGGGGGTTGCTTGAGCGCAGGAGCTTGAGATCAGCCTGGAAAACACAGTGAGACTTCATTTCTACAAAACAATAAAAAAAATTAGCTGGGCATGGTGGCATGTGGCTGTACTCCTAGCTACCCAGGGAGCTAAGATGAGAGGATAACCTGAGCCTGGGAGGTTGAGACTGCAGTAAGCTATGATCACAATGTCAGTTTTGTAAAATATAAATGACCTCAAACTCTCCAGTTAAAAGTCAATCTATTGGCTGGGCGCAGTGGCTCATGCCTGTAATCCCAGCACTTTGAGAGGCTGAGGTGGGTGGATCACCTCAGGTGAGGAGTTCAAGACCAGCCTGGCCAACATGATGAACCCCATCTTTACTAAAAATACAAAAATTAGCCAGGCATGGTGGTGCGTGCCTGTAATCGCAGCTACTTGGCAGACCAAGGCAAGAGACTTGATTGAACCCAGGAGGTGGAAGTTGCAGTGAGCCAAGATTGCACCACTGCACTCCAGCCTGGGTGACAGGGTGAGACTCAGTCTCAAAACAAACAAACAAACAAACAAAAATCTATCATCACATTAAAAAATTTCAAATTTCCAGGCCAGGTGTGGCTCATACCTATAATCCCAGCACTTTAGGAGGCCAAGGCAGGTCAGTCACTAGAGCTTAGGAGTTCAAGACAAGCCTGGGAACATGGTAAAACCTCATCTCTACTAAAAAAAGAATTAGCTAGGAGTGGGGGTGCACACTTCTAGTCCCAGCTACTCAGGGGGCTGAGGTGGGATGATTGCTTGAGTCTGGGAGGCAGAGGTTGCAGTAATCCGAGATTACACCAGTGCACACCAGCCTGGGTGACACAGTGAGACCATGTCTCCAAAAAAAAAAAAAAAAAAGAAGAAGAAAAAGAGAAAGTCCAAATTTCCTGTTAGAATGTACAAAGTACTATATAAGATGACATATTGTGTGGAGAACAGTGAGAAAGTGTAGCCATAACACAGGTTTTAAAAAAAAAAAAAAAAAAAAGGAGGAGAGCTGGAATGCATAAGTAGTTGAGAAGAAAGAAAAAGAGACCACAAAAAAACAGAGATAATTTGGAAATAAAAGCAGAATTCCTCTTCAGAGAGAGTCAGTTGTGCAGCCTGGGTAGAGAAGTCCTTTCTCTGCATGCAGAATCAATGCCAGGTCTTCATCCTGGATATTTCCAATCTCTTACCTGGAGCCACAACTTCACTCCAAAAAGAATATTTATTGTTAATTATGGAACATCTACTACACATCTGGCACTGCGTTATGTTTCTTCACTTCATTTATATGCCAAATAGCCCTATGACTTATAAAGCCTCCAAAGTGTTTATCTGAACAAATTGCCCAATAGAGTCAATAAACTCAATTACTCAATTAAGTGAAAGAAACAATAACAAAAAAAGTTGGCTCGAATAGTGTTCTCTAATAATGGAAAAATGGAAATGTACTAATTAAGTACAATGAAAATTAATACACTCACTGTGGAATTATTCACATCTTCAGATTATTTTTTAAGCACCAATAAGTTTCATAAAATCATTATTATAATCCCTGAGAAGATCACATAAGAAATTCTTCATGAATTTTGGAACAAGAAAATTATACGTTAGCTCTAGCATGAGCAACATAAAAGTAAAAACAGGAATTTCATGTGGAAATTCTGCAAAATAAGATTTTAGAGAAATGCCTTCAATACAAAGCAGAGAAAACAGATTTGCCTTCGACATTTTTGAGGTTTCTAGTTTGCTAATAAATTATCCATACTTTTGAAATTATGTTTGGTTCCAACATTTTTCTCTTATTCTGAAAACAGGTATGCACTTACTTCAAACACATTACTTGCTTCATAACTGTCTTACACCTAACATTTATCCTTAGAGTAGTATATTTATGTATTTATCTCCATGTAAACCAAAACTAAAAGCATGTATATGTTTTGCAGGCCAGAAAAGCCACATGTTAAAAGGAAAATGTAAATAAAATTTTGTGAATAGTCCTTCAAGATTCAGAAATACACGGTCTTTGATTATAATCCTATATAGGCTTTATTATAGCCTTAATAATGACACTGTCATTACAAAAAGAGCAAACAGAATGAAGGTGTAACGTGTGGGAACAATATTTTTCAAATTATTTGAAGTTTAATGCCACTGGGAGAAGGGATCATTAGAGATACTATTCCACCATGTTACCCACTATTGTATTGTTACCATTTGTTACCTACAACCGTAACTAAGGTGAGATAGGTTAACGTTGGTGGTAGGATACGCATCACTTAATGTACAACGGTCCAAAGACATTAAAACAATGTCTTATTAAAACAAATTAAGTTCAAACAGTCTAAAAAGAGCATTTCAAAATCCACTGAATTTTATTACCTTAATGTGCAATAGGAAAAACAACTGACTTGTAAAACTCAAATGTTTCTTTCTTAAATATAATGCAGAATAGTACTCTGAAGACCTATCTCATGAATCACTTACAACCCTATTATAAGACAAGTACAAAGAGCCTCTCCAGTTAAATTTCTTCAGGAAGCTTACAATGCAATGTCCATAATCTTCCAAAGAAAAGGATATGAACAACACCCACCCGAATATAGAAGAAACTCTCACAGCTTTCATGTAGCAACAGTAGGCCTCATGCCTTCACATAAACACTAGAAATGAAGGCATGGTATCAAGTGATTTAAGACTTGAATTACATAAATATGTGATTTTCAAAAAAGCTAAAACTCTTTCAGTGCACCGAGTATACTTTATTATTATGTTGTTATTATTATTATTGAGAAAGGGTCTTGCTCTGTTGCCCAGGCAGGAGTGAAGTTGCCAGATAGCAGCTCACTGCATCCTCAACCTCCAGGCTCAAGCAATCCTCCCACCTGAGCCTTCCAAGTAGCTGGGACAACAGGCATGTGCCACCAAGCCTGGCTTTTATTTTACTTTTTGTAGAGATGAGGTTTTGCCATGTTGCCCAGCCTGGTCCCAAACTCCTGGGCTCAAGCAATCCCCCGACCTCGGCATCCAAAAGTGCAGCAACTATAGGAAAGAGCCACCGTGCCTGGCACCAAAAGGTATACTTGAAATGTAATTATAACTTCCCCAAAAGGTGAATCTCCTACTTACTTTAACTTAACTTTGAATTATTCTCTATAACCAACACTCAGATTTACAGTAATGTCTGAAAGTGTCAGTGACTTAGTGCTTTTTACTATGAATTCTTGGATGTGTTTTGATGTAATTTTTGATTAGACATTTTTTCACATTTACTGCATCTGTAAAACAGTTTTTAGTGTGAACACTCTGGTGTTTTCTGAGGTATATTTTTTGAACAAATGTTGTTTCTGCATTTATTACATTTGTAGGGTTTCTCTCCAATACAAAGTCTTTGAAATTGAATACAGTTTGAGCAACTGGAGGGTTTCCCTCCAGTATAAATTCTTCTGTGTACAGTAAGAGCTGTGATATAAGTGGAGGTGTTGAACCGGTCTATTTGTATTGTTCGTAGCCTAAACATTTTAGTGCACTCAAAGGCTCATAGACTGTAAATGGCCTTTTGACAGTCATTACATTTGTAACACTCTTATTCAGTAAAAATATTCTGCTGTGAAGTTGTGAATAGGTATTAAAGACTATGCCATATTGTTTAGAATTGTAGGGTTTTTCTCAGGTATGAGTTTTCTCATGTACAGCAAGTTGTGCAGAGTGGTTAAAGGCTTTGCCACATTCCTCACACTTGTATGGTTTCTCTCTGGTATGAATTGTCTTATGTTTAGAAAGGTGTGAGCTCTGGCCAAAGGCTTTGCCACATTCTTCACATTTGTAGGGTTTCTCTCCAGTATGAATTCTCTTATGATTAGTAAGATATGAAAACCAGTTAAAAGCTTTGCCACATTCATCACATTTGTAGGGTTTCTCTCCAGTATGAATTCTCTTATGTTGAGTAAGGTATGAAAACCAGGTAAAAGCTTTGCCACATTCCTCACATTTGTAGGGTTTCTGCCCAGTATGAATTCTCTTATGCTGAATAAGGTATGAGAACCAGGTAAAAGCTTTGCCACATTCCTCACATTTGTATGGTTTCTCACCAGTATGAATTCTCCTATGTTCAGTCAGATGTGAGCTCTGGTTAAAGGCTTTTCCACATTCTTCACATCGGAAGGTTTTCTCTCCAGTATGAATTCTTCTATGTTGAGTAAGGTATGACAACAATTTAAAGACTTTGCCACATTCTTCACACTTGTAGGGTTTCTCTCTACTATGAATTCTCTTGTGTTGA
The DNA here is from genome assembly GCF_000001405.40 of Homo sapiens. Lineage (NCBI taxonomy): Eukaryota > Metazoa > Chordata > Mammalia > Primates > Hominidae > Homo > Homo sapiens. Next base: position 246,987,580 of record NC_000001.11, read on the forward strand.
GTAAGGTATGGGAACAACTTAAAGGATTTGCCACATTCTTCACATTTGTATGGTTTCTCTCCAGTATGAATTTTCTTATGTTTAGTAAGAACTGAGCACAGGTTAAAAGCTTTGCCACATTCTTCACATCTGTAGGTTTTCTTTTCAGTATGATTTTTCTCAACAACAGCAAGACTTGAGCAAGACTTAAAAATGTTATTACATTCTTCACATTTGCAATGTTTCTCTCCAACATGAATTCTCTTACAGTCAGTAAAGCATGAGCACTCATTAAAGGCTTTGCCACATTTTTTACATTGGTACGGGTTCTCTCCAATATGGATTCTCTGCTGTTGAGTCATTATTAAAGACATGCAAGAGACATTGCCACATTCTTTGCATTTGAATGGTTTTTCTCCAGTATGGCTTATCTTACATTTATTTAGATTTGCAAATTTACTAAAACCTTTCACACATTTATTGCATTGAAAGTTTTTGCTATGAGTAGTTGCTGAGCATAGGTCAAGTCCATTATAACTTGCCTTCTGCCCTTTCCACTCACCCACAATTTCCCAGTCATTCCTTAAGCGTAATTTCTCAAGACAACATCTTTCATATCTTCTCAGCATCACTTTTTGGAATGAAACTTGCAGGCCCTGCTCTGGCAAAATGTCTTCAGTAAGATAAGAAGACAAAACTGGAAAAAATAAAAACAACAAATTATTCCACTTACTAGATAGCATCCTTTACAAATCTAAGGCATAAAATTATACAAGCATATTAGCAAGATAGCATAATGAAATACCACAGGCCCTTATTCCTTCATAGTCATAATCCTAACAAAAATATACTAAGCAAAATGCCATTATGAGAATCCTAAAAGCAGCCAAAGGGGGAAAAAAAGAAATGACGTACAATGAAGCTCCAGTACGCCTCACTGCAGACTTTTCACCGGAAAACTTACAGGCCAGGAGAGAGTGGTATGACATACTTAAAGTGCTGAAAGAAAAAAAACCTTTACCCTAGAATATTATATCCAGCAAAAATATCCTTCAAACATAAAGAGAAATAAGGATGGCCAAACAAAAGCTGAGGTATTTCATCAATACCAGACCTGTCCTACGAGAAATGATAAAAGGAGTACTTCAATCAGAAAAGAACATTAATTAGGCAGATCACCTGAGGTCGGGAATTCAAGTTCAGCCTGACCAACATAGAGAAATCCCGTCTCTACTAAAAATATGACATTAGGCCGGGCGCGGTGGCTCACGCCTGTAATCCCAGCACTTTGGGAGGCCGAGACGGGCGGATCACGAGGTCAGGAGATCGAGACCGTCCTGGCCAACACAGTGAAACCCCATCTCTACTAAAAAATACAAAAAAAAATTAGCCGGGCGTGGTGGCAGGCGCCTGTAGTCCCACCTACTCAGGAGGCTGAGGCAGAAGAATAGCGTGAACCCGGGAGGCGGAGCTTGTAGTGAGCCAAGATCGCGCCACTGCACTCCAGCCTGGGCAACAGAGCGAGACTCCGTCTCAGAAAAAAAAAAAAAAACGACATTAATTGGGCGTGGTGGCGCATGCCTGTAATCCTAGCTACTCGGGAGGCTGAGGCAGGAGAATCGCTTGAACCCGGGAGGTGGAGGTTGTGGTGAGCCAAGATTGTGGCATTGCATTCCAGCCTGGGCAACAAGAGTGAAACTTTGTCAAACAAACAAAAATTAAATGATGAACAAATCAAAAATGATAACTACAACAAGTTTTCAAAACATAGTACAATAAGAAACAGCAAAAAGTTAAAAATCAGGAGTACTAAGCTAAGGCGTAGAGTTTTTATTAGTTTTCTTTTCACTTGCTTTTTTATGCAAAGAGTGTTAGGTTCTTATCACGTTAAAATACATCAAACCAAAAAACATACAATGGATACACAAAAAATGAAAATCAGGAAACTAAATCATATCACCAGAGAAAATCACCTTCACTAAAGGAACATAGACAGGAAAGAAAGAAGACCACTAAACAACCAGTAAACAAGTAACAAAATGGCAGGATTAAGCCTTACTTACCAATAACAACATTGAATGTAAATGGAGTAAATTATCCATTCAAAAGAAATAGACTGGCTGAATGGATGAAAACACAAGACCCACTGACCTGTTGCCTTTAAGAAACACACTTGAGGCCAGGTGCAGTGGCTCACACCTGTAATCCCAGCTCTTTGGGAGGCCGAGGCGAGCAGATCGTTTGGGCTTAGGAGTTCAAGACCAGCCTAGGCAACATGGTGAAACCCATCTCTACCAAAAATACAAAATTAGCTGGGCTGTGGTCCCAGCTACCTGAGAGGCTGAGGTGGGAGGATTGCTGGAGCCTGGGAGGCAGAGGTTGCAGTGAGCCAAGATTGCACCACTGCACTTCAGCCTGGGTGACACAGTGAGACCCCATCTTGAAAGGGAGAAAGGGAGAAAGGGGAAAGGGAAAGGAAAGGAAAGGAAGAGAGAGATGAACGAGGGGAAAGGGAAGGGAAGGGAGAAAGAGAGAGAAGAAGGAATGAATGAAGGAAGGAAGGAAGGAAGGAAAAGGAGAAGGGGAAGGAGGGAGGAAGAGAGGAAAAGGAAGGAAAGAAAGGAAAGGAAGGAAAAGAGAAAGAGAGAGAGAAAGAAAGACACTTTACCTATAAAAACGCACATAGTCTGAAAATAAAAGAATGGAAAAGGAAATTCCATGAAAAACAAACAAACAAACAAAAAAGAGCAGGAGTCACTATACTGGTGTCAGTCAAAACAGATTTCAAGACCAAAAGTATAAGAAGAGAAAAAGAAGGTCATTAAATAATGATAGAAGAGTAAAATCAGCAAGAGAATATAACAATTGTAAATATATATTTATCCAACACCAGAGTACCCAGATATATAAGGCAAATATTATTAGAACTTTAAAGAGAGGCCCCAGTACAGTAACCGCTATATACTTCAGGACCTCATTTGCAGCACTGGACAAATCTACTAGACAGAAAATCAATAAAGAAACATCGCACTTATCTGCACTATATGCCAAATGGATCTAATAGATAGTTGCAGAACGTTTCATGCAACAGCTGCAGAATACACATTGTTTTCCTCAGCACATGGATCATTCTCAAGGATAGACCAAATGTTAGGTCACAAAACAAGTCTTAAAGCATCCAAAAAATGGAAATAATACCAAGCATTTTCTGTGACCTCAATGGAATAAAACTAGAATGAAAAGAGGAATTTTCAAAACTATACAAATACATGGAAATTAAACAATACGCTCCCAAATGACCAGTGAATTAAAAGAAATTCAGGAGGAAATTTAAAATTTCTTGAGACAAATGATAACAGAAACAAAATATACCAAAACCTATGGGATACAGCAAAAGCAGTACAAACAGGGAAGTTTATAGTTACAAGTGCCTACATCAAAAAAGAGGGAAAACTTCAACTAAACAATCCAACAATGCATCTTACAGAACTAGAAAAGCAAGCGCAAACAAAACCCAAAATTAGTAGAAGAAAAATAATGAAGATCAGAGCAGAAATAAATGAAATTAAAATTTTAAAACAATTCAAAAGATCAATGAAACAAAAAATTAGTTTTTTGAAAAACAAAATTGAGAAAAACCTCTAAGACATTAGTCTAAGCAAAAATTTCTGGAGCAATACCGCACAAACACAGACAACCAAAAAAAAATGGACAAATGGGAACATATCAAGTTAAAAAGCTTCTGCACAGCAAAGAATGCAATCAAAGTGAAGAGACAACCCAGAGAATGGGAGAAAATACCTGAAAACTACTCATTTGACAAGAGATTAACAACCACAAGTTATAAGGAGCTCAAACAACTCTATAGGAAAAAAATCTAATAATCCGAGCCAGAAAAAGCTCAGGAGATGTGAATAAACATTTCTCAAAACAAGACACAAATAGCAAACAGGCATATGAAAAGGTTGTCAACATCACTGATCATCAGGGAAATGCAAATCAAAACTACAATGAGATATCATCTCACCCCAGTTAAAATCACTTATATCCAAAAGCCAGGCAATAACAAATGCTGGTGAGGATGGAAAGAAAAAGAAACCCCGTACACTGTGGGGATGTAAATTAGTACCACCACTATGAAGAACAGTTTGGAGGTTTCTCAAAACACTAAAAATAGAGGTACCATATGATCCAGCAATCCCACTGCATATGTATAGGCCAAAGAAAGGAAATAGGTATATCAAAGATACCTGCACCCCTATGTTGGTTCCAGCACTATTCACAACAGCCAGACTTTGGAAGCAACCTAAGTATCCATCAATGGGCAAATGGATAAAGATAATGTACTACTTATAGGCCGGGCGCGGTGGCTCATAACTGTAATCCCAGCACTTTGGGAGGCCGAGGTGGGCAGATCACAAGGTCAAAAGATTGAGACCATCCTGGCTAACAACGTGTAGCCGGGCGTGGTGGCGGGCACCTGCAGTCGCAGCTACTCGGGAGGCTGAGACGGGAGAACAGCGTCAACCCGGGAGGCGGAGCTTGCAGTGAGCCGAGATCGCGCCACTGCACTCCAGCCTGGGTGACAGAGCGAGACTCTGTCTCAAAAAAAAAAAGAAAATGTACTACTTATAGACAATGGAGTACTATTCAGCCTTAAGAAAGGATGAGATCCTGTCATTTGCAACAACATAGATGGAACTGAAGGTCACCACGTTAAGTAAAATAAGCCAGGCACAGAAAGACAAACATTACATGCTCTCACTTATTTGTGGAATCTAAAAGTCCAAACATTTAACTCATGGAGATAGAGAGTAGAAGAATGGTTATGAGGCTGGAAAGGGTAGTGGGTGAGTGGGTGGGGGAGGTGGGGATGGTTAATGGGTGCAAGAAAATTACTTAAAAAGAATGAAAAAGACCTACTATTGAATAGCACAACAGGGTGACCATAGTCAAAGATAATTTCAGCTGGACATTTTAAAATAAAGAGTATAATTTGTCTGTAAGTCAAAAAATAAATGCTTGAGGGAATGGACACCCCATTTTCCCTGATATGCTTATTTTGCATTGCATGCTTGTATCAAAATATCTTATGTACCTCATAAATATATACACTATGCACCCACAAATTTTTTTAAATTTTTTAAAAATCCTTTCTGAGAACTCTAAAAATCAATGAAGGGTTTGCAGGTGAGCACAATGCCACAAGCCCCATAGAATGGAAGGAAAGTTGGTTCCATTTACCCACCACAGCCCTACCTTTTTTCCAATAAGGTAGGTGCCCTTAGGAGTAAACTTCCGACTTCTCCCTCAGAAAATAAAGAAAATAGTGGCACATGTGTCCATACTTTTGGGGGCTTGAAAAAGACTGGTTTCTGTCTCCTATTACACAGAGTACTGAATGGAATGATGGTATACTTTGACCGACAGGTTGGTTCTGTTGAGACCAATAATAAATGGTTGTTATAGCAGATGAGAAACTGCAGTACGAGAGATGGGCAACAGATATAACAAGTGATTACAGCCTCTTAAGAGGAAACATGTGAAAACCTCTGTAATTAAGAAAATAGCCGGGTGCAGTGGCTCACGCCAGTAATCCTAGCCCTTTGGGAGGCCGAGGTTGGCAGATCACGAGGTCAGATGTTCAAGACCAGCCTGGCCAACACGGTGAAACCACATCTCTACTAAAAATACAAAAATTAGCCAGGCATAGTGGCACGTGGCTATAATCCCAGCTACTTGGGAGGCTAAGGCAGGAGAATTGCTTGAACCCGGGAGGCAGAGGGTGCAGTGAGCCGAGATTGCAGCACTGAACTCCAGCCTGGGAGACAGAGTGAGAGACTCTGTCTCAAAAAACAAACAAACAAACAAACAAAAAAAAACACCATTCCAGAGAAGACATATCCCAAGAACAAGTTTGAGAGGCTCCCATAATCTCTAGCCTGGTCAACTGGTGTCAGAATTTCCCAGAACAATGCCACTTTATAAAGATTGAAACAGGTGGCTTTTTGTTAATTTCAAATCTGAACAAAAGATTACAATGTATACAAAGTATCAGGGTACTTAACGCCCCAAAAAGGAAAAATAAATATCCAGATAGCAACCCTAAAGAAATGGAGATATATAAATTATCTTTAAAAACTCAAAATAATCATGTGAATAACATTAATAAGTGAAATAAGAACACAGACAACTAAATGAAATCAGGAAAATGGAAGATCAACAAAAAGATAAAAAGTATAAAAAGAAATAGAAATTATGGAGCTCAAGAATATAAGGTAAGCAAATGCTGAAAAAGTCATCAGTAGACCTATACTCAAGAAATGCTAAAGGGGCTGGGTGCGGTGGCTCACGCCTGTAATCCCAGCACTTTGGGAGGCCAACGTGGGCGGATCACTTGAGGTCGGGAGTTCAGGACCAGCCTAGCCAATATGGTGAAACCCCATCTCTACTAAAAATACAAAAAAATTAGCTGGGCGTGATGGCACAAACCTGTAGTCCCAGCTATAGGGAGCCTGAGGCACAAGAATCACTTGAACCTGGGCGGCGGAGGAACAAAAGCGTAAAAATAATTATAAACATCTGTTCATATAAAAAGATATGATCAATGACATCAGTAACCTAAAGTTCAGGGCAGATGTACTGAGAAAAAAAATTTGTATGTGACTGAAGACATTACCAGTTTAAAATATATTGTTGTGGCCAGACGCAGTGGCTCACACCTGAAATCCCAGCACTTTGGGAGGCTGAGGTGGGCAGATCACCTGAGGTCAGGAGTTCGAGACCAGCCTGGCCAACGTGGCAAAACCCTGTCTCTACTAAAAATACGAAAATTAGCTGGGCGTGGTGGCACGCGCCTGTAACCCCAGCTACTCAGGAGGCTGAGGCAGGAGAATCGCTTGAGCCTGGGAGGCAGAGGTTGCAGTGAGCCGAGATCACGCCACTCCACTCCAGCCTGGGTGACAGATAGAGACCCTATCTCGAAAAAACAAAACAAAGCCGGGCGTGGTGGCTCACGCCTGTAATCCCAGCACTTTGTGAGGCTGAGGCAGGCGGATCACGAGGTCAGGAGATAGAGACCATCCTGGCTAACATGGTGAAACCCCATCTCTACTAAAATTACAAAAAATTAGCTGGGCATGGTGGAGGGCGTCTGTAGTCCCAGCTACTCGGGAGGCTGAGGCAGGAGAATGGCGTGAACCCGGGAGGCAGAGCTTGCAGTGAGCCAAGATAGCCCCACTGCACTTCAGCCTGGGCGACAGAGCAAGACTCCGTCTCAAAAACAAAAACAAAAACAAAAAACAAACAAACAAAAAACACGAACAACTCACAGGAGACAAAAAAGACAATAAATAATAAAAGGTTTTGTTCACAGAAAACCTATGACAAATGTATGTCTGTGTATTTATGTCTACATCTGTGTCTCACCAGGGTTCACGATATATAAAGCAACTATTTACAGAAATGAAGCAACAAGTACACAGGGAACGGGGGACTTGAAAGCACTATAAAACAGTGACAACCAACAGACCTCTAGAGAACACCCTAAACAACAGAATCCACGATATTCTCAACAGCTCAGAAAACATTCTCCTTGACAGACCACCTGTCAGGCCACAAAACAAGTCTTAACCCATTTTTAAAAATTAAAATCTTATAGATTATTATTTATGACCAAAATGGAATAAAACAAGAAATCAGTAACAGAAAGAAAACTGAAACATTCACAAATATACGGAAGTTCAACAACACACACTTGAGCATGTTCTTCATGGGCTAGAAGACTTAATATTACGAAGATGTTCATATCACCCAAGTGACCTACAGATTCAGTGCAATCCTCTCAAGTTCACAATTTCGTTTTTGCAGAAATAGAAAAGGCAACCCTAAAATTACACAGTGCGTGAAGGAACCATGAAGAGCGCAACAATCTCCACAAAGAAGAACAATGTTGCAGGTATCATACTTTCTGATTTTAAAATACATTATGGCCACGCGCAGTGGCTCATGCCTGTAATCCCAGCACCTTGGGAGGCTGAGGTGGGTGGATCACCTGAGGTTATGAGTTAAAGACGAGCTTGGCCAACATGGTGAAACCCCGTCTCTACTAAAAAGACACGGTGGCACATGCCTGTAATCTCAGCTACTCAGGAGGCTGAGGCAGGAGAATGACCTGAACCCGGGACGCAGTTTGCAGTGAGCCGAGATCGCACCATTGCATTCCAACCTGGGTGACAGAGCTGAGACTCTGTCTCAAAAAAAAAAAAAAAAAAAAAAAAGAAGCTGCGGTAATTAAAACAGTTTGGTATTGGCATAAAGGCAGACAGTTAGGTCAATGAAACAGAATAGAAAACACAGAAACAAACCTCCACATATATGGTCACATGAAGAGTTCTTTGCATGCCCATATTTATTGCAACATTATTCACAAAAGCTGATAGGGGAAAACAACCCAAACTTACCTCACCAAATGAATGGTTAAATATAATTCAGAATACACAAATAGGCTGGCAGTGGTGGCCCGTGCCTGTAATCCCAGCACTTTGGGAGGCCAAGGCAGGTGGATCACCTGAGGTAAGGAGTTTGAGACCAGCCTGGCCAACATGGCGAAACCTCGTCTCTACTAAAAATACAAAAAAAAAAGAAAATTAGCCAGGCGTGGTGGTGCATGCCTGTAGTCCCAGCAACCCAGGAGGCTGAGATGGGAGATCACTTGAATCTGGAAGGTGGAGGCTGCAGTGAGCTGAAGTCGGGCCATGCACTCCAGCCTTGGCGACAGAGTGAGACTCCTCGCAACAAAATTAACTCATACTAGCACCACAGATGCCCAAGAAATCGAGATGTCTCAAAAAACAAAACAAAACAAAACAACCCCACAAATAATGGAATATTACTCAGCTTTTACAAAGCAGGAAATCTGGTAAAATCTACAATAAAGATGAATCTTTAGACGCCCAAGAAATTGACATGTCTCAAGAAAAATAAATAAATAAAACCACAATGGAATATTACTCAGCTTAAAAAGCAGGAAATCTGGTAAAATCTACAATAAAGATGAATCTTCAAGAAAAGCCCTTTGTCCTGATGTGATTATTATGCATTGCATGCCTGTATCAAAGTATCTCATGTACCCCATAAATATATACACCTACTATGTACCCTTAAAAATTAAAAATGAAAATCTTGGTGACATGCTAAATGAAGTAACCCAGTCACAAAAAGATAGAGACTGTACGAATCCATTTATATGAGATATCTGAAACAGATCCTTAAAAAATAGAATGGTGTTTCTAAAGGGCCAGGCAAATACACACACACGTCATAAAGAAAATGTACTGGCATGTCTACTGCAAGTAGATTTATCTGTAAGTTTGTTTGCCTGTAACATTTATAAAGGCAAACAAACTTACAGATAAATGTACTGACAATGTGATTGTTGCATTATTCACTTTTGCACCATAATGTCTTGAAGTGTACAGAACTGAATATGTTCATAAAAATTATAATACATAAGTAAAAACTGTTCATGTGTGGTGGCTCATGCCTATAATCCCACCATTTTGAGAGGCCGAGGGGAAGGATTGCTCGAGGCCAGGAGTTTGAGACCAGCCTGGGCAGGAGTGAGAACCCATCTATATAAAAAATAAAGAAAGAAATAAAAAGTCCAGGCGCGGTGGCTCACGCCTATAATCCCAGCACTTTGGGAGGCTGAGGCAGGGGGATCACTTGAGGTCAGGAGTTCAAGACCAGCCTGGCCAACATGGTGAAACCCCATCTCTACTAAAAATACAAAAATTTGCCAGATGTGGTGGCGGGCACCTGTAATCCCTGCTACTGGGGAGGCTGAGGCAGGATAATCTCTTGAACCCGGGAGGCGGAGGGTGCAGTGAGCTGAGATCACGCCACTGCACTCCAGCCTGGGCGACAGAGCGAGACTCTGTCTCAAGAAAAAAAAAAAAGAAAAAAGAACTACCATACAAGACAGCAATCTCACATGTGTGTGTGTGTGTAAAATCAATAGAAATAAAATCAGTATCTCAAATAAATATCTGCATCCCCATGTTCATTACAGCATTAGTCATAATTGCCAAGATACAGAAACAATGTGAATCTTTGTGAATGCTGAATGGATAAAGAAAATGTTTTACATATACATAATAGAGTATTATTAAGCAATAAACATAATGAAATCCTGCCATTCTAACAACATACTAAGTCGCTAAGTGAAATAAGCCAAACACAGAAAAACAAATACTTCCTGTTCTTCTCACTCATATGAGCAATCTTAAAAGGTTGGACTCCTAGAAGCAGAAGACACACGTGATTGCCAAGGAGGTAGGAAAATGGAAGATGGTATTAAAAGGGCACAAACTTTCAGTTATAAAATAAATAAGCTTTGGAAATCTAATGAGTAGCATCATGAGTACAGTTAATAATATTTTGTATGCTTAAAATTTGCGTTAACACAGCAGACAAGTGTTTTCAACATAAAACTAACCATGTGAAGTGACAGATGTGTTCATTAGCTTAACTGTATAATCATTTCACTAGATACAGATATCAAACCATGACACCGTACAATAGTTATCCAATTTTTATTTGTGTAAAAGAATCCACATTATACACATACATATATACACACACATATATATAAATGACACAGACCGATGAAGTTTCATACTAAACAAGAGAAAATTATAAAATGACAATTATTTTAAAGGAAGGCAACAAGTGGGAGTTTACTATATAATCAGCAATGTTCTACACTCCCCAACGACCCAGCATATTTAAGAAATCTAGGATATGAGTAGATATATTAAACTATATAACAGCTGAGAAATTTAGGCACGTAGGGTTCAAATTACAAATCTCAGTTCACACAAAAGAAAGAAAATTTTTAAGTAAACGACATTAGATTTTCTGATATTTAGGGAGATGCTTAGTCTTCTGATAAAATTACTATCAATTTCTGTAGAATCACATTTGAAATCTCCACAGGGTAAGTCATAAAGGAGAAAATATACATCCGTTTGTGGTGTTCTGGGATTTCTTAACCAAATACCAATATCACCACTACTCTCACATGTTCCACATGCAATGCAAAAAGGGATCTTAAAAAATATTTTAGGCCGGGCGCGGTGGCTCACGCCTGTAATCCCGGCACTTTGGGAGGCCGAGGCAGGTGGATCATGAGGTCAGGAGATTGAGACCATATGGGCTAACATGGTGAAACCCTGTCTCTACTAAAGTACAAAATAAATTGGCTGGGTGTGGTGGCGTGAGCCTGTAGTCCCAGCTACTCGGGAGACTGAGGCAGGGGAATCGCTTGAACCCAGGAGGTGGGGCTTGTAGTGAGCCGAGATTGTGCCACTGCACTCCAGCCTGGGCGACAGAACGAGACTCTGTCTCAAGAAAACAAATATATATATATATATATATATATATATATATATATATATGAGCATAGAGTTCCTCAAAAATACGCAGACAGTCCCATGTCCCCAAAAGCAATGCAAGAGCAGTCAGATCATGCAGTCCCCTATAAACTATGAAGATGATTGTGACGCTCACTGTAAACTTGAAGGAAAATGACTGAAGGGAAATACAGTCCTTAGACAATTTAACAGCATGAGATAGAAGATGCCCCTATGTGGGAGCAAGAGAAAGAAACCCAGGCTTCTCAGAAGCCATTTCCTGGGAGTAGAGCTTCCCAAACCACAGTTTAAAGTCTGGCTTCTTCCTTGATCCTTCAACCCCTACCTGTGTTCGCTTCATTCACTCCCACCTACCTGAGTGTCTGGCTGTCTTCTCTGTGTTCACGTTCCAGGGCTCTTTCCTTGCCTCCAGACAGATGATCAGTTCTGGCTTAGACATAGCAAGACCTGTTTTATTAGAAAAAAGGTGCATGATTCTTGCAGGGATTCTTTAATCACCTTTTACTATGCTCAGTAGAGAAGAGAAAACATCACATTAGATCCTAGAAAATTAACTCCAAAATACTGTTTTCTGACAGAACCTTTAATATATGTAGGAAGTATTTTAAATTTGTGAGTCCTTAGCCCTGCTACCAAGAACTATAATAACTGGATCAAAAATTGGTGGTGGAAACTGGATTTTGAAGTGTAGGCAACAATATTTTATACTACTGAATTTCTAGAATTACCACCAATCTAGAGCAAGGATATACATCAGCTGAATAGAAAGGTTGATGTCAAGGCAAAACATCTTGAAAGTTTTGTTTTCTACACCAAGAAATCCCCAAGGTTTTCTTGAAAGCAGTGATGTGAAACTCATTCATGCAAATCAGAAACTCCCAGAAAACATTCTACAAAGGAAAAAGATGAAATCCTTACTGTGAAATAGGAATTGCATATTGAAGCTATCCTCACCAAGGGAGATCAGGTTTCTGTAGTTCTCTAACATCACATCCCTATACAAACTCCGCTGAGCTGGGTCCAGGCATTCCCACTCCTCTGGAGAGAATTCTAGAGCCACATCCCTGAATGCCAATAGTCCCTGAAAAAGAAAACATATTTACCAAGTGGTCACGGCAGAGTTCTTAATTTGACTACAGGCAAGGAGAGACAGTGAAGAGAACTGGCTCTGACTTATATGAGTGACTAGAATTATCAAATAAGATAATTTTTAACACAGAAATATACTCTAGGCCGGGCGCGGCGGCTCACACCTGTAATCCCAACACTTTGGGAGGCCGAGGCAGGCGGATCACCAGGTCAGGAGTTCAAGACCAGCCTGGCCAACACGGTGAAACCCCATCTCTGCTAAAACCACAAAAATTAGCCGGGCGTGGTGGCACATGCCTGTAGTCCCAGCTACTTGGGAGGCTGAGGCAGGAGAGTTGCTTGAAGCCAAGCTGCAGTGAGCCGAGATCACACCACTGCACTACAGCCTGGGTGACAGAGCGAGACTCTGTCTCAAAAATAAATAAATAAACAAACAAATAAATAAAAAATATATATATATACACACACTCTAATGTATTCTCTCTGAGGAAAGAAGATGGCTTAAGATCCATGAAACCAGTGTAGGTAGTCTACTTTTGTGCATAATATAGTATAAAATTAAGGGCATCAACTCAAGCACTGGTATATTCACATCACACAGGATAAACTGTGTATTGTTCTCATATGGAGAAGTCAGGGTGAGTTAGAAGGTACTTCTCAAATTTTAACAAGTATGTCAGTGAAGTAGGAATCTTGTTAAAATGCAGGCACGGGCCGGGTGCAGTGACTAGTACACAGACCATTTACACTATAAAGCAACCACACAAACAAGTCTACATAACAACCAGCTAACAACGCAATGACAGGATCAAATCCACACATATCAAGGCCAGGTATGGTGGCTCACACATATCAACTCCAGCACTTTGGGAGGATGAGGCATGAGAATTGCTTGAGCCCAGGAGTTCAAGGCCAGCCTAGGCAAAATAGTGAGACCCTGTTTCTACCAAAAACACCACATATCAGTATTAACTTTGAATGTAAACAGGCTAAATGCCCCACTTAAAAAGCAGAGTGCAAGTTGCATAAAGAAAGAAGACCCAACTCTATGGTCTTCCAGAAACTCATGTCACATACAGTGACACCCATAGGCTAAAAGTAACCAGAAGGAGAAAAATCTGTCGAGCAATCAGAAAAGAAAAACGAACTATTCTTATTTCAGACAAAACAAACTTTAAACCAACAATAATGAAAAAAGACAGGCCAGGAGCAGAGGCTAATGCCTGTAATCAGCACTGGGAGGCCAAAGTGGGAGACTCACTTGAACCTAGGATTTCAAGACCAGCCTCAGCAACATAGCAAGACCCTGTCTCTGTTTTAAAAAAAAAAAAAGAAAGAAAGAAAAGGAGCCGGGCGTGGTGGCTCACAGCTGTAATCGCAGCACTTTGGGAGGTCAAGGCAGGCAGATCACTTGAGGTCAGGAGTTTGAGACCAGCCTGGCCAACATAGTGAAACCCCATCTCTACTAAAACTACAAAAAATTAGCTACACGTGGTGGCGGGCGCCTGTAATCCCAGCTACTCGGGAGGCTGAGGCACGAGAATCACTTGAACCCAGGAGGCTGAGGTTGCAGTAAGCTGAGATCATGCCACTGCACTCCAGCCTGGGCAACAGAGCAAGACTTCGTCTCAAAAAAAAAAAAAAAAAAAAAAGAAACAAGACAAAGAAGGGCATTGCATAGTGATAAAATGTTCAATAAAATCAGAAAACTTAACTATTCTAAATATATATGCAACCAACATTGAAGCACCCAGATTCATAAAACTATTTCTTAGAGACCTATGAACAGACACAGATAACCATACAATATTAGTAGAAGACTTTAACATTCCACTGACAGTATTAGATCATCAAAGCAGAAAACTAACAAAGATAGGGACCTGAACTCAACACCTCAACAAACGGACGTAATACACATCTACAGAACACTCCATTCAACAACACAATGCCCATTCTTCTCACCTGCACATGGCATATATTTTCAAATCAACCACATGCTTGGCCATAAAACAATTACCAACAAATTAAAAAAAAAACTGTTATCACACCAACCACACTCTCAAGACCACAGTTAAATAAAAACAGAACTCAATATCAAGAATATCTCTGAAAACCATACAGTTACAAGGAAATTAAATAACCTGCTTCTGAATGACTGGGTAAATAATGAAATTAAGGCAGAAATGAAGAAATTAAGGCAGAAATGAAGAAATTATTTGAAACTAATAAAAAAAAAGATACCGCATCCCAGAATCTCTTGGACAGAGCTAAAGCAATGTTAAGAGAAAAGTTTATAGTGCTAAATGCCCAGTTCAAAAAGTTAGAAAAATCTCATATTAACCACCTAAGGTCAGACCTAGATGAACTAGAAAACCAAGAGCATACCAACCTCAAAGCTAGCAGAAGAAAAGAAATAACCAAGGCCGGGCGTGGTGGCTCCCGCATGTAATCCCAGCACTTTGGGAGGCTGATACAGGCAGATCACCTGAGGTCAGGAGTTCGAGACCGGCCTGGCCAACATGGCGAAACCCCATCTCAACTAAAAATACAAAAATTAGCTGGGTGTGGTGGTGCATGCCTGTGATCCCAGCTTGGGAAGCTGAAGCAGGAAAATCACTTGAACCCAGGGGGCAGAGGTTGCGGTGAGCTGAGATCGTGTCACTGCACTACAGCCTGGGTGAAAGAGTGAGACTCTGTCTCAAAAAAAAAAGGGGGGGGCAGCAAAGGACTTGAAGGGACATTTCTCAAAAGAAGATATGCACATGGCCAACATGCATATGGAAAAAAGTTCGACATCACTAATCATCAGAGAAATGCAACACAAAACCACAATGATGCTCTATTACACCATTCAAAATGGTTATAATTAGAAAGTCAAAAAATAACAGATGCCAACGAGGTTGCAGAAACAAAGGAATGCCTATACACTGCTGGTGAAAACATAAATTAGCCACTGTGGAAAGCATTTTGGAGATTTCTGAAAGAACTTAAAACAGGGCTGCCATTCGACCCAGCAATCCCATTACAGGGTATATACCCAAAGGAGTATATATCATTCTCCAATAAAGACACATGCATGTGTATGTTCACTGTAGCCTTTTCACAATAGCAAAGACATGGAGTCAACCTACCTGCCCATCAACAATGGACTAAATAAATAAAATGACATACATGAACACCAGGGAATGCTATGCAGCTATAACAAACACAAAATCATGTTCTTTGCAGCAACATGAATGCTGCTGGATAATTTAATTAATACAGAACAGAGAACCAAATACTGCATGTTCTCTCTTATATGTGGGAGCTAAATATTGAGTAAACATGGACACAAAGAGGGAACAAAAGACACTAGGGCCGACTTTAGAGTAGAAGGAAGGCAAGAGTAGAAACTACCTGTTGGATATTATGCTCATTATCTGCGTAATGAAATAAATAATTTGTGCACCAAACAACCATGAAACAAAATTTGCCAATATAACAAACCTGCACACATACTCCCTGAATCTAAAATAAACATTGGAAAAGAAAAAATAAATAAATTGTAAATAAATTATAGGGGAAAAAGTTTCTCTATCTTTATAGTTTTGGTAAACTAAATTCAGTGATGGATATTCATTAAATATCCAGATCATTTCCAAATAAGATGTAATGCTAAGACATTTAGTTACTAAATTTGAGTTCATCTTACATACTTTGGGCTTTTTATTTCA
Organism: Homo sapiens; assembly: GCF_000001405.40. Taxonomy (NCBI): domain Eukaryota; kingdom Metazoa; phylum Chordata; class Mammalia; order Primates; family Hominidae; genus Homo; species Homo sapiens. Next base: position 247,003,796 of record NC_000001.11, read on the forward strand.
GAAAAACAAAATACATTTAGATGTTGGTAAATACATTATGTTCCACACTGAAACACTGTTTCATTAGAACTATATTTCTAAAAATGTGTATTCATAAATTCTTAGTATTTGAATGACAGTAAAAATTTTTTCTTAGGGCCGGGCATGTGGCTCATGCCTGTAATCCCAGCACTTTGGGAGGCCAAGGCGGGCGGATCACCTGAGGTTAGGAGTTTGAGATCAGCCTGGCCAACATGGTGAAACCCTGTCTCTACTAAAATACAAAAATTAGCCGGGTGTGGTGGCAGGCATCTGTAATCCCAGCTACTCGGGAGGCTGAGGCAAGAAAATCATTGAACCCAGAGGGCGGAGGTTGCAGTGAGCTGAGATTGCACCACTGCACTCCAGCCTGGGCGAGAGAGCGAGACTCCATCTCAAAAAGAACAACAACAAAAAAGATCACTCATGATGACCAAGTGGGATTTATCCCAGGGATGCAAGGATGGTTCAACATATGTAAATCAACCCATGTAACACATCATATTAACAGAATGAAGGAGAAAAACCATATGATCATTTCAACTGATGCCGAAAAAGAATTTCATAAAATTCAACATCCTTCATTGATTTAAAAAAAAAACCCTCGAAAAACTGAGTATAAAAGGAGCATACACAGTAAAATCATACATGACAGACCCACAGCTAGTATACTGAAGGAGGAAAAACTGACAGCTATACCTCTAAGATGTGGAACAAGAAAAGGATGCCAACTTTCACCAGTTACTCAACTTAGTACTGTAAGTCCTAACTAGAACAGACAAGAGAACAAAATGAAGCTCTCCAAATTCAAAAGGAAGAAGTCAAATTATCCTTGTTTGCAAATGATATGATCTTCCACTTGAAAAAACCTAAAGACTCTACCAAAAAACTATTCAAACTGAAAAGCAAATTTGGTAAAGTGGTAGGATACAATACTAACATACGATAATCAGTAGCATTTTTATATGCCAACAGCAAACAATCTGAAAAAGAAATGAAGAAAGTAATCCCACTTACGATAGCAACAAATAAAATACCTAGGAATAAACTTAACCAAAGAAGTGAAAGATTTCAACAACAGAAACTATAAACCATTGATGAAAGAAACTGAAGAGCACACAAAATAACAGAAATATATTCTGTGTTCATGGATTGGAAGACTGTTAAAATGTTACTGTTAAAATGTCCGTAACTCCACAAAGCAATCTATAAACTCTGTGTAATACCTACCAAAATACCAATGACATTCTTCAGAGAAATAGAAAAACTAAGCCTAAAATTTTTTTGGAACCACAAAAGACTAAGAATAGCCAAAGCCATCCTGAACAAAAAGGAAAAAACTGGAAGAATTACTCTACTTGACTTCAGATTATATTACAGAGCTATAGCAACAAAAACAGCATGGTACTAGCATAAAACAAGACACATAGCTCTATGGAACAAAATAAAGAACCAAGAAAAAAATCCATACATCTACAGCAAATTAATCTGTGACAGAGGCACCAAGAACATACTTTGGGGGAAACAACAGTCTCTCAATAAGTTGTGCTGGGAAAAATGGATATTCATATGCAGAAGAATAAAACTTGACCCCTTGGCCGGGTGTGGTGGCTCATGCATGTAATCTCAGCACTGTGGGAGGCCAAAGCAGCAGGGTCACTTGAGGCCAGGAGTTCGAGACCAGCCTGGCCAAGGAGTCCGACCAGCCTGGCCAACACAGTGAAACCCTGTCTCTATTAAAATACAAAAGTTAGCTAGCTGTGGTGGCCTGCACCTGTGGTCCCAGTTTACTCGGGAGGCTGAGGCACGAGAATAGCCTGAGCCCAGGGGATGACAGAGTGAGACTGTCTCAAAACAAAACAAAACAAAACAAACAAACAAAAAAAACGATAAAAAACAACAACAAAAAAACTTGGCCCCCGTCTCTAGGCATATACAAAAAATCAAATCAAAATGGATTAAAGACGTAAATCTAAGACCTCAAACTATGAACAGAAAACATCAAGGAAACTATCCAGGACACTGGCTGAGTAAAGATTTTACAGCAGAGTGTCAAGTGATTATTCTCTGCTTTCTTCTCATGTGAAATGTTCAGAACAGAAAGAAAATATTTTTTAAAAAGCCACTCATGGCTGGGCACGGTGGCTCAAGCCTGTAATCCCAGCACTTTGGGAGGCCGAGGCGGGAGGATCACAAGGTCAGGAGATCGAGATCATCCTGGCTAACAGGGTGAAACCCTGTCTCTACAAAAAATACCAAAAATTAGCCAGGCATAGTGGCACACGCCTGTGGTCCCAGCTACTCGGGAGGCTGAGACAGGAGTATCGCTTGAACCCGGGAGGCAGAGGTTGCTGTGAGCCAAGATTGCACCATTGCACTCCAGCCTGGGCGACAGAGCGAGACTCTGTCTCAAAAAAAAAAGAAAAAAAAAAAAAGCCCATTCATTGCACTGTGAAAAAAACAAAAAAGAACCGTTAAAATCTTGCATCTGTTTGAAAAGCAAATAAAGGACAAATAAGCCGGGCGCGGTGGTTCATGCCTGTAATCCCAGCACTTTGGGAGGCTGAGGCGGGCGGATCACGAGGTCAGGAGTTCGAGGGCAGCCTGGCCAACATAATGAAACCCCATCTCTACTAAAAATACAAAAATTAGCCGGGCATGGTGGCGCCTGCCTGTATTCCCAGCTACCAGGAGGCTGACGCAGGAGAATCGCTTGAACCTGGGAGGTGGAGGTTGCAGTGAGCCCAGATTGTGCCACTGCACTTCAGCTTACCTGCCATTGGGCAACAGAGTGAGACTTCGTCTCAAAAAAAATAAATAAATAAAAAGAACAAATAGTTGATAATGTTGTGTTTGGAGAGACAAAGTTAGCATTTGGGAATGTAGAAAAGAAACTGGAAACAAGATTTCCTTCAGGCCCTAAAACAGTTAGGCTGGGGGAACAGAGTCCTGGATTTGAGGTCCTGCTTGCCATACATTTGAAAAATGCTGGGAAAACCAGTTCCCCTGTGGAGTGTTAGAATACTTAAATGGCAGACAATTAGACTGAGTGGCTTTGATGTCCTGGGATTCTATCTAAGGAATCCTAGCTAACTTAGATGAATTTCTTGTAAATTGCAAACTTGGAGAAAAACAAAACGTAGGCTTAACCAACCACTAAATGCTAATAAATCTCTTATTACATAATCAGGAAATTTCATCCTGGACAGTCCAAATAAGGTGACTGCATAATGGCAACCGATCAATTATTAAACGTGGTTGCTTCCTCGTGCACCTTATGAAGACCTTCCCTTCAAGTTTAGCCCCAAACCAGGGCTAGGGGCTTCCAGATTCATAAATCACTGTTTGCTGGAATAAACTCCTTAACATTTCAAAGGTGCTTCAGTTTATTTTTTTAAGAGGAGAAAGGAGACCGGGCGCGGTGGCTCACGCCTGTAATCCCAGCACTTTGGGAGGCCGAGGCGGGCGGATCACGAGGTCAAGAGATCGACACCAACATGGTGAAATCTCCGTTTCTAATAAAAATACAAAAATTAGCTGGGCGTGGTGGTGGGCGCCTGTAATTCCAGCTACTCGGGAGGCTGAGGCAGGAGAATCGCTTGAACCTGGGAGGCAGAGGTTGCGGTGAGCCGAGATCGAGCCACCGAACTCCAGCCTGGCGACAGGGCGAGACTCCGTCTCAAAAAAAAAAAAAAAAAAAAAGAGGAGAAAGGAACCCACAGACCACAGCTCCTCCCACCCAGGAACCTTTCACGGGAGTCGGGACTCTCCCGACAACCCCTCCGTCATCACAGCACAATCCAGGGAAGACGCGGCGCTGCGGGCGCGGGGCTGCCCCGGGAGGGCTCTGGGCCGTGCCGAAGTCACCAGGCAGAGACCGGACAGTCACCCAGCGGCCGGGATCCCGCTGCCGGCCCGGCCCCCACCTGCGCGGGACGGGACTGAGGGCCGAGCTGCGCCAGCGGGACTCGGCCGCACACTCCGGAGCCGACCGCCGGGAGGCCCGGGGCCGCCAGCGCTGGTTCCAGCCAATTCCAACCGATTCCAACCACCCCCTCTCCCTTCTCGGGACACCCTGCTCCGCACACTCACCATTTCCCAGCTTTTGGGGGTCCCAGCGTCCTCCCTATAAATCTCGCAATACCTGCAGGCCACAGGGCGATGGAGCCTGCGGCAGTCACCCGGGACTCTCCGAGAGGCAGCAGACGGGAACCCAGCACCCCGCCGGCCGCAAGGAGACAAAGGCCCCGCCAGATCCCCAAGGCCGCCCCTTCCTCTCTGGCTGCACGCCTGATTGGACAGTTCTCACGCTAGCGCCGCTGACTGGATGGGGCTCCAGGCCCCACCCCCTCAGGTCTTGAGTGACAGGAGGTGCGATCAGACACTGGGCCGAATGAAACAAGAGTGACAGGTTTTTGGGTGCAGCCCTTTTGAAGCGACATTCCTCACGGCACTTCGACCTGGACCCACCTGCCTGGGGGATAATGGCATTTAACCTTGTATATAAGATTATATCCATTCATAAGTTTTACACACACACACACACACACACACACACACACATATATATTTCACAAATAGAAACAATGAATGATAATTATTTTAAAGTTTCCGATTTCATAACCTTCCGGGCCTCTGGTCTTTTGACCAGGCAGCCTGAGCTGTGGAAAGTGAGGCAATCCTCTCAGGCAGCAATATGCAATATAAATAAAAGGTGAGCCACGCGTGTCATTTAAAATTTTCTAGGATCTGGCGGGTCGTGGTGGCTTACGCCTGTGATCCCAGCACTTGGGGAGGCTGAGGAGGGAGGATCACATGAGGCCAGGAGTTTGAGACCAGCCTGGCCAGTATGGCGAAACCCCGTCTCTGCTAAAAGTATTTTTAAAAATTAGCCAGGAGTGGTGGTGGTCGCCTGTAATCCCAGCTACTCAGGAGACTGAGGCAGGAGACTCGCGTGAGCCTGGGAAGCGGAGGTTACAGTGAGCCGAGATCATGCCTTTGCACTCCAGCTTGGGTAATAAGAGGAAAACTCCATCTCAAAAACAAAAACAAAACAAAACAAAAAAATCGGCTGTGAAGACATTTCCTCCTGCAGAAATTTAGCCAAACAGCTGAGTATGTCTTGAAGTCATTCTTTGGTTCTTAACAGGGCAAAGCTATTTTCTAAGACCTAAACCCTGGACTGGCCATGGGGCAAACCCTCACAACACATATGGAATTCATGCACAGTTAATGCATCTCTTACCTTGAACCAGTGGTTGCTACTAATTTTGTTTCTGATTCAGCCCAGTTCTACAACTGCCCTGCTATGCACAGGGCACTGTACTAGCTGCCCTGGCCTTGGTGAACATCATTGTGGGGAGAGGACTTTGCTGGGAAAAAGTTGCATCCCCCCAGATTGAAACCATTCCACTTTCCAAATTGGAGTAAAACTGAAAAGACCTAGGGGAGCACCCAAGGTTACAACATGAATGAATAGCTCAGAATATTTAAAGTCATTTGATGGTATCATGGGTGAGTGTGTCTCACTTCAAACAAAATAAAACACTACTGTTATTCTGAGATTCTAAGTTAGGATTTATGTAAAAATATATAATAATTTTTTTGATACACAACACACATACAAAAAAATACAAAGCATTCATGTAAAGCTCTGTGAGTTATTACAAAGCAAATACAGTTGTATAACCAAGAAATAGAACCAGCATCACTCATATCCCAACAATTACTATCTGCCTCCCTTATCTACCTCCCCAGTGGTAAGTAAGATTATTATTATTATTATTATTATTATTATTATTATTATTATTTTAAGACGAAGTCTCGCTCTTGTCCCCCAGGCTGGAGTGCAATGGCGCGATCTTGACTCACTGCAACCTCCACCTCCCGGAATCGAGCGATTCTGCTGCCTCAGCCTCCCGAGTAGCTGGGATTACAGGCGCCTGCCACCACACCCGGCTAATTTTTGTATTTTTAGTAGAGACAGGGTTTTACCATATAGGCCAGCCTGGTCTCGAACTCCTGACCTCAGGTGATGCACCCGCCTTGGCCTCCCAAAGTGCTGGGATTACAGGCGTGAGCCACTGTGCCCTGCCGATTTTTTTTTTCTTTTTTTGAGACAGAGTCTAACCCTTTCACCCAGGCTGAAGATGCTCTAGCGATCCTCCTACCTCAGCCAACTGAGTAGTTGGGACTACAGGCACACAACCACCACAACTGGTTCATTTAAAGATCTTAAGAGCTAACATTGTACATCACTTTTGCCTTTTCATACAAGCGTTTTATTACAGAAAATTTTAGCCATATACAAAATAAACGAAATAGTATAATAGACCCGTCACCCTGATTCAAGAACTACTCATCTTGTGCCATTTTTCTTTCATCTATGCTTCAACCCATTCTGCACCCACTGCTGTATTTTTTTAGTTCCTTTTTTTTTTGCATGAGGTCAGATGTACACACATTGAAAGGCACAAATCTTAAATGTACAGTTTTTAAAAAATAAAATATACCCATATAAGCTTCACCCCTTTTAAGAATGGAATATTTTCATCATTCTCAGAAAACTTCCTCGTATTTCTTCCCAGGCAGTTTTTTTCTACTTTCAGAGGCTGTGTTGATTTATTTTCACTCTAGGTTCATTTTTGCCTGAAGCCATACAATATGCATTTTATTCCACTTTGTCTCATATACCCAGCTTGTGAGATGCAGTCAGGGTGTGTGCTTCAGTGGCTTGTGTCTTCGTACTGCTGGGTAGCATCCTGTTGTATGAATATCCGCTCTACAATTTGCTGAACCATTTTTCTGTTGATGGACATTCGGGTTGTTTCCTATTTTGGGTTTTTATGAACAAAAGATCTATAAATATTCTTGTACAAATACTTGTTATATTTAATGTAATTCCTTTTTAGAATTTGAGTGACGTGTGTTTTTAGTGGGATGACTGGTGATGTTGAGTACCTTTTTATATGCCTGTTGGCCATTTGTATGTCTTCTTTGGGAAAAATACTCAATCTGTTTCATATTTCTGAATCGGTTGTTACTATTCTCTTTTTTGAGATGGAGTCACGCTCTGTCGCCCAGGCTGGAGTGCAGCGGCGTGATCTCAGCTCACTGCAACCTCCACCTCCTGGGTTCAAGTGATTCTCCTGCCTCAGCCTCCCGAGTAGCTGGGACTACAGGCGCGTGCCACCATGCCCAGATAATTTTTTGTATTTTTAGTAGAGACGGGGTTTCACCGTGTTAGCCAGGATGGTCTCGATCTCCTGACCTCGTGATTGGCCCGCCTCGGCCTCCCAAAGTGCTGGGATTACAGGGGTGAGCCACCGCGCCTGGCCAGATGCCACATTTTCTTTATGCATTCATTCATCAAAGAACACTTGGGTTGCGTCCACGTTTCCGCTTTCATGAATATTCCTGCAATAAACATGGGTGTGCAGGTAAGTTTTTCAGGTCCTGCTTTGCATATTTTGGATAGACACCCAGAAGTGGAATCGCTATATCATATAATAATTCCGTTTGAGAAACCTCCGTACGGCCGGGTGCGGTGGCTCACGCCTGTAATCCCAGCACTTTGGGAGGCCGAGGAGGGCAGATCACCTGAGGTCAGGAGTTCGAGACCAGCCTGGCCAACATAGCGAAACCCCGTCTCTACTAAAAATGCAAAAATTAGCCGGGTGTGGTGGCGTGTGCCTGTAATCCCATCTATAGGGAGGCTGAGGCAGGAGAATCACTTGAACATGGGAGGCGGAGGTTGCAGTGAGCCAAGATCACACCATTGCACTCCAGCCTGGGCAACAGAGCAAAACTCTGTCTCAAAAAGAAAAAAAAAAAAAAAGAGAGAGAGAAACTTCTGTACTATTTTTTATAGTAGCTGGATCAATATTTCCCCACTAGCAGTGCACAGAGGTCTCAGTTTCTCCACATCCTAGAGACCATTTGTGGGTTCTTTATTTGCTTGATAGTGGCCATGTAATGGGTGTTAGCAAAGGAAATCTGGTAGATTTGCTTTACATTTTTATTTTATTTATTTATTTATTTATTTTTTTGAGGCAGGGTCTTACTCTTTCACCCAGGCTGGAGTGAAGTAGTGCAATCTTGGCTCACTGCAGCCTCAACCTCCTGGGCTCAACTGAACCTCCCACTTCAGTCTCCCGAGTAGCTGGGACTACAGGCACCTACCTGCCAACACACCCAACTAATTTTTTTTGTTTTGTTTTGTTTTGTTTTTGTTTTTTTTGAGACGGAGTCTCGCTCTGTCGCCCAGGCTGGAGTGCAGGGGCGCGATCTCGGCTCACTGAAAGCTCCGCCTCCCGGGTTCACGCCATTCTCCTGCCTCAGCCTCCCCAGTAGCTGGGACTACAGGTGCCCGCCACCAAGCCCAGCTAATTTTTTGTATTTTTAGTAGAGACGGGGTTTCACCATGTTAGCCACGATGGTCTCGATCTCCTGACCTCGTGATCTGCCCGCCTCGGCCTCCCAAAGTGCTGGGATTACAGACGTGAACCACCGCGCCCGGCCTAATTTTTGTATTTTTATTATAGGTGTGAGCCATTGCGCCTGGCTGCTTTGCATTTTTCTAAGGATTTGTATATCACTGGTCAGTTTTTTGCCCACTTTTAAATGGCATTATTTGCTTTTTCTTTGTTTAGTTTTTGTAGTTGTTTATATATATCCTGTCAGATATTTGCTTTTCAAATATTTTCTCTCATTCCTTAGGTGGGATTTTGACTCCACTGAATGTTTCCTTTGACATGCAGTTTTTTAAGTTTAATGTAGTTCATTCTTTTAGTCTTTTTTGTTGTTGTTTATATATTTGATGTCATACCCAAGAAAATATTGCGAAGACCAATGTTATCATCTTTCCCCTTATGTTTTCTTCTAAGGATTTTAGAGTTACAGTTTATTTTCTATTTATTTATTTATGTATTTCGAGACAGAGTCTCACTGTCGCCTAGGCTGGAATGCAATGGTGTGATCTCGGCTCACTTCAACCTCCGCCTCACGGATTCAAGCAATTCTCCTGCCTCAGCCTGTCGAGTAAGTGGGACTACAGGTGTGTGCACTAATTTTTGTATTTTTAGTACAGACGGGGTTTCACCATGTTGGCCAGGATGGTCTCGATCTCCTGACCTCGTGATCCGCCCGCCTCGGCCTCCCAAAGTGCTGGGATTACAGGCGTGAGGCACCGCGCCCGGCCTAGAGTTACAGTTTTTATGTTTAAGTGTCTAATCCATTTAAGATGGCTTTTGTATATGATGCAGGGTAAGTCTCCAGTCTCATTTTTTCCCACGTGGATATCCAGTTTTCCAACATCATCTGTTGAAGACTGTTCAGGCCGGGCGCGGTGGCTCACGCCTGTCATCCCAGCACTTTGGGAGGCCGAGGCGGGCGGATCACGAGGTCAGGAGATCGAGACCATCCTGGCGAACACGGTGAAACCCCGTCTCTACTGAAACCACAAAAAATTAGCCGGGCGTAGTGGTGGGCACCTGTGGTCCCAGCTACTCGGGAGGCTGAGGCAGGAGAATGGTGTGAACCCGGGAGGCGGAGCTTGCAGTGAGCCGAGATCGCGCCACCGCACTCCCGCCTGGGCGACAGAGCGAGACTCCATCTAAAAAAAAAAAAAAAAAAAAAAAAAGCATTCAAGAGTGTGTTGTTATCTTTCACGTATTTTTAGATTTGTCAGTTTTGCTTCAACTTTACATTTCTAGCTTTATTTCACGTGGTCAGAAAAGATACAGTGTATGAGTCAGTCCTCTCAAAAATGATGAGTTGTTTTGTCTTCTAACAGGTTGTCCCTGAAACAACTATCCATTTTCTCCTACCCCCAGCTCCTGACAAAGTGTATTCTACTTTCTTTTTCCAGGGGTTTGACTACTTTAGATATCTCATATAAATGGAATCATACAGTATCTCTCTCTTTTTTTTTTTTTTTTTTTTTTTGGAGACAGTCTCACTCTGTCACCCAGGCTGGAATGCAGTGCATGGTCTTGTCTCACTGCAACCTCTGCCTCTGAGTTCAAGCGATTCTCCTGCCTCAGCCTCCCAAGTAGCTGGGATTACAGATGCCCATCACCATGGCCAGCTAATTTTTGCATTTTTAGTAGAGACGGGGTTTCACCATATTGGTCCAGCTGGCCTCAAACTTCTGACCTCAAGTGATCCGCCCACCTCAGCCAACCAAAATGCTGGGATTACAGGCGTGAGCCACTGCACCTGGCCCAGTATCTTTTTTGTCACTTGGTTATTTCACTTACCATAGTGTCCTCGATTTATCCCTATTGTCAATATAACAAAATTTCAGCTTTTAAAAGCTGAATAATATTCAGTTATTTGTGTTTTTCAAATTGTCCTTATCCATTCTTTCATTGAGGGAATTTGGATGCCTTCCACTTTTAGCTTTTGTGAAAAATGCTGCAGTGAATATGGATGTGCAAATAACACTTAATATGACCATGTATGCAAGGGCTTGTTTCTGTGCTCTATTCTGTTTCATTGTTGTATTTGTCTTCCTTTATTCCAGTACCAGACTATTTTGATTACTATAGCTTTATAATCTGTTTTAAAATCAAAGCATGATGTCTCCAGTGTTTTTCTCTTTTTGACAACTCTTGGGCTCTTCTGGTTCCTTAAATTTCATATGGTTTTTAGAATTGCTCTTTATATTTATGCAAAACATGACATTGGAAACTTTGATAGAGATTGCATTGGATCTGTAGATCACTTTGGGCCGAATATGGCCATCTTCACACTGTTAAGTCTTTTATCCCTTAAATGAGAGCATGTTCAAGAGTTTGTTGTTTAATTGTTACATATTTGAATTTTTCAGAATTATTTGTGCTTTTGGTTTCTAGTTTTATTTAACTTCTATCTGAAATCATACTTTGTAAGAGTCCCACTTTTTAAAACCTGTAAAAACTTGTTTTGTGGCTTAACAGTTTATTTTTAATTAATTAATTTATTTTTTGACACGAAGTCTCACCCTGTCGCCCAGGCTGGAGTGCAGTGGCCCAATCTTGGCTCACTGCAACCACTGCTTCCCAGGTTCAAGCGATTCTCCTGCCTCAGCCTCCTGAGTAGCTAGGATTATAGGCATGCGCCATCATGCCTGGCTAATGTTTGTATTTTTAGTAGAGATGGGGTTTCGCCATATTGGCCAGGCTTGTCTCGATCTCCTGACCTCAGGTGATCTGCCGGCCTCAGCCTCCCAAAGTGCTGGGATTATAGGTGTGAGCCACTGCACCCAGCCGGTTGCTTTGAATTTTTAAAAATTTTGCCATCATGCTCATGTCTTCAGCCTGGTATAATTTTATATTAGATTCATAAGGTATATTCTACAAAATCCAGTAAGATAATCTGTTATGTTAATTTCTTTCAGCTCTGTCATCTCATTACAACCAAGGCCTTTCACCAAAGCAGAGCACAGATATTTTATTTTGAAAAGTAATAATGGGAAGTGATGAAAGCTGTGACTTTGAGAATTTACACTTAAGGAAAAAGTGTGAAGATGTGGGTGGAGGTAAAGGCCAAAAAGAACGTTATAATGTGCATCACCAATGGGCAACAACTACTCATAACAGAAATTTACCTGCCACAGGAGACCAAGAACATAGAACATCTCAGAAGAAACCTCAACTTACATCAGCTGCTTCTATATAGAAACATGTTTCTATAAGTAAATATCAACATCGATTTTTGAAATAAACCTTTTGTAATGAAACTCAGAAAAACTTTAACCATCACTCAAATTCCAGTAAACATCAGAGTACTTATTTTCCAGATAATCATTAGAAATGTAATAAATAAAGGAAAGTATTTTAACATTCCCCAAAACTTACCATCCATCAGAGTATCCATACTCAAGAGAAGCCTTACAGATGTAAGAAATGTGGGAAAATTCTAACTAGTTCTCACTGCTTACTCAGCATCAGATAATTCTCACTGGAAAAAATTCACACAGATGTAATTGAAGGGGTGGGTTGCCCCTCCACACCTGTGGGTGTTTCTCGTAAGGTGGAACGAGAGACTTGGAAAAGAAAAAGACACAGAGACAAAGTATAGAGAAAGAAATAATGGGACCCGGGGAACCAGCGTTCAGCATATGGAGGATCCCGCCAGCCTCTGAGTTCCCTTAGTATTTATTGATCATTCCTGGGTGTTTCTCTGAGAGGGGGATGTGTCAGGGTCACAAGACAATAGTGGGGAGAGGGTCAGCAGACAAACATGTGAACAAAGGTCTTTGCATCATAGACAAGGTAAAGGATTAAGTTCTGTGCTTTTAGATATGCATACACATAAACATCTCAATGCTTTACAAAGCAGTATTGCTGCCCGCATGTCCCACCTCCAGCCCTAAGGCGGTTTTTCCCTATCTCAGTAGATGGAACGTACAATCGGGTTTTATACCGAGACATTCCATTGCCCAGGGACGGGCAGGAGACAGATGCCTTCCTCTTGTCTCAACTGCAAGAGGCATGCCTTCCTCTTATACTAATCCTCCTCAGCACAGACCCTTTACGGGTGTCGGGCTGGGGGACGGTCAGGTCTTTCCCTTCCCACGAGGCCATATTTCAGACTGTCACATGGGGAGAAACCTTGGACAATACCTGGCTTTCCTAGGCAGAGGTCCCTGCAGCCTTCCGCAGTGTTTGTGTCCCTGGGTACTTGAGATTAGGGAGTGGTGGTGACTCTTAAGGAGCATGCTGCCTTCAAGCATCTGTTTAACAAAGCACATCTTGCACCGCCCTTAATCCATTTAACCCTGAGTTGACACAGCACATGTTTCAGAGAGCACGGGGTTGGGGGTAAGGTCACAGAATCTCAAGGCAGAAGAATTTTTCTTAGTACATAACAAAATGGAGTCTCCCATGTCTACTTCTTTCTACACAGACACAGTAGCAATCTGATCTCTCTTGCTTTTTCCCACATGAAATAAAGGTAGAAGAGTCTTTAGTCAATCATCACATCTAAATAGACATAAGGAAATCTATATTGGAGAGAAGTATAAAATGTAAAGAATGGTAAACCCATTAACTACTACTCAATCCTTACACATCAGGGAATCCATACTGTAGAGAAACCTTTGAAATGGAAAGAATACGGCAAAGCCTTTAATAGGTGTTCACACCTTACTAAAAATTAAAGGATTGGTACTGGATAGAAACCCTACAAATGTAATAATTTTGGAAAGACTTTTGTGCAAAATATACACTTCAGAGAACACCACAGTATTTACCCTGGAGGGAAATTGTACCAATGTAAAACAGTTAGCAAAACCTTTAACTGATGCTTAAATTTTGCTCAACAGAGAATTTCTATAGGAGAGAACCTCTACAAATGTAATAAATGTGGAAGGACCTTTGTCCAAAATATACAACTTAGAAAGCACCAGAGAGTGTATGCTGGAAAGAAACATTATAGGTGCAGTAAGTGTGAGAAAGCACTTAATGAAAAATCAAGTCTAAATGAAAATCAGAGGACTCGCCCTAGAAAGAACTGAGGTACTAACACTTCTGACATCACTCTAAATCACAGACTTTATTATAGGGAATAACCCAGTCAAAACAATTAGACAATTTAATTTCACGTTTCAAAGAAGAGAGATTGATGGATCAGTAGGTATAATTCTATTTACTGTATACTTGTTTCTGGTAATGACAGTATTTAAGATTGTGTGAGCAAATATGATTTTATTTTTTATTTTTTGAGACAGGATCTCACTCTGTCATCCAGGTTGGAGTGCAGTGGCAATATCATGGCTCACTGCAGCCACAACCTCTTGGGTTCAAGTGATTCTCCCTCCTCAGCCTCCTGAGCAGCTGAGACTACAGGTGTGCACCACCATGTCTGGTTAATTTTTATATATTTTTTTAGAGATGAGGGTCTCACTATGTTGCTCAGGCTAGTCTTGAACTCTTGGAATCAAGGGATCCTCCTGCCTTGGCCTCCCAAAGTGCTGAGATTATAGGTGTTAAGCCACTGCATCTGGCCTGAAAAATTATTATTTATGTAATTCAACCCTCAAATTATTCAATGCTATTCTTTATTCCTACTTTGTATGTAAAAGCATGTGGTCAATTGTTGTTACCTCCAAGCTATGAGGTATATATTATGTGGGCATCATTCACATAAACTCACAAAAATGGAAGACTGAGGGCACTGAAAGGGCATGCATGAGGAAAATCTAGATGTAGGGGTTCCTTTTGTTTGACTTATAACTGTTTTTTAAAAAATTTAATTTAAAACACTCCTCAGCAAATGCAAAAGAAGGGAAATCATAACAAACAGTCCCTCAGACCACAGTGCGATCAAATTAGAACTCAGGATTAAGAAACTCACTCAAAACCGCCCAACTACACGGAAATTGAACAACCTGCTCCTGAATCACTACTGGGTAAATAACGAAATTAAGGCAGAAATAAATAAGTTCTTTGAAACCAATGAGAACAAAGATACAATGTACCAGAATCTCTGGGACACAGCTAAAGTAGTGTTTAGAGGAAAATTTATAGCACTAAATGCCCACAGAAGAAAGCGGGAAAGATCTAAAATTGACACCCTAACATCACAATTAAAATAACTAGAGAAGCAAGAGCAAACACATTTAAAAGCTAGCAGAAGGCAAGAAATAACTAAGATCAGAGCAGAACTGAAGGAAATAGAGACATGAAAAAACCCTTCAAAAAAATCAGTGAATCCAGGAGCTGGTTTTTTGAAAAGATTAACAAAACAAAGAGACCTAATTAGCCAGACTAATAAAGAAGAAAAGAGAGAAGAATAAATAGACACAATAAAAAACGAAAAAGGGGATATCATCACTGATCCCATAGAAATACAAAGTACCATCAGAGAATACTATAAACACCTCTTCGCAAATAAACTAGAAAATCTAGAAGAAATGGATAAATTCCTGGACAAATACACCCTCCCAAGACTAAACTAGGAAGAAGTCGAATCCCTGAACAGACCAATAACAAGTTCTGAAATAGAGGCAGTAATTAATAGCCTACCACCTAAAAAAAGCCCAGGACCAGACAAATTCACAGCCGAATTCCACCAGAGGTACAAAGAGGAGCTGGTACCATTCCTTCTGAAACTATTCCAAACAATAGAAAAAGAGGGACTCCTCCCTAACTCATTTTATGAGGCCAGCGTCATCCTGATACCAAAACCTGGCAGAGACACAACAGAAAAAGAAAATTTCAGGCCAATATCCCTGATAAACATCGATGCGAAAATCCTCGATAAAATACTGGCAAACTGAATCCAGCAGCACATCAAAAAGCTGATCCACCACGATCAAGCCGGCTTCATCCCTGGGATGCAAGGCTGGTTCAACATATGCAAATCAATAAATGTAATCCATCACATAAACAGAACGGATGACAAAAACCACATGATTATCTCAATAGATGCAGAAACGGCCTTCGATAAAATTCAACAGCCCTTCATGCTAAGAACTCTCAATAAACTAGGCATCGATGGAACATATCTCAAAATAGTAAGAGCTATTTATGACAAACCCACAGCCAATATCATACAGAATGGGCAAAAGCTGGAAGCATTCCCTTTGAAAACTGGTACAAGATAGGGATGCCCTCTCTAGCCACTCCTATTCAACATAGTGTTGGAAGTTCTGACCAGGGCAATCAGGCAAGAGAAAGAAATAAAGGTATTTAAATAGGAAGATAGGAAGTCGAATTGTCTCTGTTTGCAGATGACATGATTCTATATTTAGAAAACCCCAGGCCGGGCACCATGGCTCAGGCTTATAATCTCAGCACTTTGGGAGGCTGAGGTGGGTGGATCATGAGGTCAGGAGATCGAGACCATCCTGGCTAACACGGTGAAACCCTGTCTCTACCAAAAATACAAAAAATTAGCCAGGCATGGTGGTGGGCGCCTGTAGTCCCAGCTACTCAGGAGGCTGAGGCAGGAGAATGGCGTGAACCCAGGAGGCGGAGCTTGCAGTGAGCTGGGATCGTGCCACTGCACTCCAGCCTGGGCGACAGAGGGAGACTCCATCTCAAAAAAAAAAAACAAAAAAAACCAAAAAAAAACAAACCATCGTTTCAGCCCCAAAACTCCTTAGGCTGATAAGCAACTTCAGCAAAGTCTCAGGATACAAAATCAATGTGCAAAAATCACAAGCATCCCTATACACCAATCATAGACAAGCAGCCAAATCATGAGTGAACTCCCATTCACAATTGCTACAAAGAGAATGAAATAACTAGGAATACGATTTACAAGGGAGATGAAGGACCTCTTCAAGGAGAACTACAAACCACTGCTCAAGGACATTAGAAAGGACAAAATCAAATGGAAAAACATTTCATGCTCATGGATAAGAAGAATCCATATCGTGAAAATGGCCATGCTGCCCCGTGTAATTTATAGATTCAATGCTATCCCCATCGAGCTACCACTGACTTTCTTCACAGAACTAGAAAAAACTACTTTAAATTTCATATGGAACCAAAAAAGAGCCCACATTGCCAAGACAATCCTAAGCAAAAAGAACAAAGCTGGAGGCATCATGCTACCTGACTTCAAACTAAAATTTAATTTAATTCAATTTAAGCTCTGGATACATATGCAGGTCGTGTAGGTTTGTTCCATAGGTAAACGTGTGCCATGGTGGTTTGCTGCACCTATCACCCCATCACCTAGGTATTAAGCCCCGCATGCATTAGCTATTTATCCTGATGTTCTCCCTCTCTCCACCCCCCAACAGGCTCCAGTGTGCATTTCTCCCCTCCCTGTGTCCATGTGTTCTCATTGTGTGACAGTGTATTAAGTCACACGTTAGTGGTGTTCGTTCTTCTGTATTAAAGTATGAGACAGGGACACTCTGAGTTTCAGAAGTGAATAGTTTTACCAATTACTCATTAAAGAGAAAAGTCTGGGCCGGGTGTCGTGGCTCACGCCTGTAATCCCAGCACTTTGGGAGGCCAAGGTGGGCAGATCACCTGAGGTCGGGAGTTCAAGACCAGCCTGACCAACATGGAGAAACCCCATCTCTACTAAAAATACAAAATTAGCTGGGCGTGGTGGCGCATGCCTGTAATCCCAGCTACTTGGGAGGCTGAGGTAGGAGAATCACTTGAGCCCAGTAGGCGGAGGTTGCAGTGAGACAAGATCACGCCATTGCACTCCAGCCTGGGCAACAAGAGTGAAATTCCGTCCCCGCTCCCAAAAAGACAAAAAAAAAAAAAAGAGAGCGAGAAAAGTCTGCTTAGTCCATCAATATTCTGATATATCTTCATAGTAGCAATAGTTAGAACTCCTGAATATTGATTGGTATGGTAGCAAGAAAGAAATCTTCACAGATAAGAGATGAAAGTGCAGATAGGTCAGGCATGGTGGCCTCACACCTGTAATCCCAACACTTTGGGAGGCCTAAGCAGGAGGATTGTTTGAGCCCCGGAGTTCAAGACCAGCCTGGGCAATATAGTGAGATCTCATCTCTACAAAAAATTTAAAAATTAGCTAGGCATGGTGGCATGTCCCTGTGGTCCCTGCTACTCAGGAGAGGTGAAAAGATTTCTTGAGCCCAGGAGGTAGAGGCTGCAGTGAGCCATGAACACACCACTGCACTCCAGCCTCGGTGATGGGGCAAGAACCTTTCTCAAAAAGTGCAGATAACTCCTCTCTGGTGGGAAATAAATTTATTTTGAATTCAATTTTCTAAACACTTAGCCTCAGTTTAAAAAATAAAGGAAGCATTTTGTTTTGTTTTGTTTTGTTTTGTTTTGTTTTGTTTGAGATGGAGTTTCGTTCCTGTTGCCCAGGCTGGAGTGAAATGGCGCTCTCAGCTCACTGCAACCTCCGCCTCCCGGGTTCAAGCGATTCTCCTACTTCAGCCTCCAGAGTAGCTGGGATTACAGGTCCCTGCCACCATGCCTGGCTAATTTTTTTTCTATTTTTAGTAGAGACAGGCTGGTCTTGAACTCCTGACCTCAGGTGATCCACCTGCCTCAGCCTCCCAAAGTGCTGGGATTACAGGTGTGAGCCACCACACCCGGCCGGAGGCATATTTTTTACATAGATCATGGTATCCGAAGAACAAGAATGCTTCTTGAGAGTAATCTGTATTTTGGCCATTGGGAAAACAGTGGATTTTGAAATGCTTTTTTCAGTCTGTTTGTAAACTTAATTTGTTTTAATAAAGGAAACAAAATGGTTTTTTATCATGTTAACACTGTTGTATATTGACTGACGTGTTATCTTACGAAAAATGTTAGCGTATTCCACCTTGCTCAAGGTCCTAGGTAGCAGACGGTAATACTGTACTATTGGGTAATACATGCCAATCATCTCTAGCAATCCTTATTCCCAGTGGCATTACACTCCAGAGAGTGTGGAGAATA
This sequence comes from Homo sapiens, assembly GCF_000001405.40. Taxonomy (NCBI): domain Eukaryota; kingdom Metazoa; phylum Chordata; class Mammalia; order Primates; family Hominidae; genus Homo; species Homo sapiens. The sequence goes on from NC_000001.11 coordinate 247,022,188, forward strand.
TTGATCCCGTATGTTATATTTTTATTCTTTACTTGTGTGACTACTGAGATATTACGATGGTTATAATAAACACTTTAGGGCCAAGAGCAGTGACTCACGCCTGTAATCCCAGCACTTTGGGAAGCCAAGGCAGGTGGATCATGAGATCAGGAGTTCGAGAACAGCCTGGCCAACATGGTGAAACCCTGTCTCTAAAAATATGAAAATTAGCTGGGGGCGGTGGTGTGCACCTGTAGTCCCAGCTACTTGGGAGGCTGTGGCAGGAGAATTACTTGAACCTGGGAAGCAGGTTGCAGTGAGCCGAGATCAAGCCACTGCACTCCAGTGTGGGTGACAGAGTGAGACTCTGTCTCAAAAAAAAAAAAAGATTTTATAGGAGTTTAATAATAAACTGTACCTTTCCTAATCTTGAATTTTACCATCATTTTTTTTCACAAGCCACACTTCTAGGCCCACAAAACACATGCATATTTTGGGTTTTGATTTACATTGACAAATATACAATTATATCAATCCAAAGATAAATTTTAGGAGCATGAGAACTATGGAGTGTGTGTGTGAGAGAGAGGTGGGAGAGAGAGGGAAAGATAGAATGCCTGTATTTATTAGAAAAGGAAAATATTAGAACAAAACAGATAATTTCAGAAAAAAAACAGTTGAAGGTATGCTAACAAACTGGAAACCTCACAGATTCTGTAAAGCACATCTTTTTTTTTTTTTTTGAAACAGTGTCTTGCTCTGTTGCCCAGGCTGGAGTGCAGTGATTCGATCTCAGCTAACTGCAACCTCCACCTCCCGGGTTTAAGCAATTCTCCTGCCTCAGCCTCCCGAGTAGCTGGGGTTACAGGCGCCCACCATCACGCCCAGCTAATTTTTGTATTTTTAGTAGAGACGGGGTTTCCCTATGTTAGCCAGGTTGGTCTTGAACTGCTGACCTCAAGTGATCTGCCACCTCGGCCTCCCAAAGTTCTGGGATTAAAGGTGTGAGCTACCGCGCCTGGCTAGCAAACCTATTTTCTCCACACTGAATTCATTTATCAGAATATCATGGCTCCTGGTCCAGAATCTCTTCCTTCAAATACTATTTTTTTTTCTGCTTTTTACTCATGCAAGAACTATGACATGATTTACTTATTCCCGCACTTATGAAATATTGTGTATATGATACACTTATGAATTTTAAGAATGTTTTTTCATGAAATTTAATGGTGTTCAGAAATTTATCCAAAGATGTGAATAATTCCACAGTGAGTGTTACATTTTATTTAATACATTCCATTTTTTCTTCTCAATCGAAGAACTCTATTGAAGCCAATTCTAAAAAGTTATTGCTCCTTTCCTTTTCCTTTCAAAACAGCTTTATTGAGGTATAATTGACACACAGTAAACTACACAGTTAAAGTATGCAATTTGATAAGATTTGACATGTGTACACCCATGAAACCATTGCCACAGTCACGTTGATAAATATCATCTCCTGAAAGTTTCCTGTGATCCCTTCTTCCCAGAAACCTCCCCTAAACTCTTTCCCCTACCCCCTGTTATCCCTGATCTGCTTTCTGTATTTACAGATTATTTTGCATTTTTTTCTTTTTTTTTTTTTGAGATGGAGTCTTGCTCTGTCGCCCAGGATGGAGTGCAGTGGTGCGATCTCGGCTCACTGCAAGCTTGGCCTCCTGGGTTCACACCATTCTCCTGCCTCAGCCCCCCAAGTAGCTGGGATGACAGGCGACTGCCACCACACCTGGCTAATTTTTTTGTATTTTTAGTAGAGACAGGGTTTCACCATGTTAGCTAGGATGGTCTCAATCTCCTGACCTCGTGATCCACCTGCCTCAGCCTCCCAAAATGCTGGGATTACAGGCGTGAGCCACCACGCCTGGCAGTTTATCATGTTTTTTCACAATGAGAGCCTCCCAGCGCCCCTGCTTCTAGTCAGCCATCTTGGCCTGGTCCCCCAGAATTTTTCATGCAGAAGTGGGAATAATGGCCTCTACATTCTTTACATGGTAGACCAGAAACTGAAGGTCTCTGATTTTATGTTCTGAGGTTTCACTGCTGACACGTTTGGTGCCTAATATCTTATTTTTGCCCTTATGACTCACTTCTAGAAAAGGCAGTAAGAAAGCCCAGGTGCTCCCTTATTTGGTGCCAGCATGAAAATCGAACTGCACGATCTCCTGCTGGGGCTTATGTAAATACAAACTCTCACCATGGCCCCAAACAATAAACCTCTAAAAATTAAAATACAGGTCAATTTCTTTTTTCTTTTTTAACTCTCTCAAGCCACTTTGCACCTACCTGAGGGGCCTGACCTGGTCTCTAAAGATGTCATTTATGAAGGTAATAAACGCTTTATACCCTCTGGGTGCATAATTAGCATCATCAATTAGATGATACATCCATTGGAAATACATTTGGCAAATTTGTTCTATTAATCCCATAGATCTTTACGTATCAGTGAATGCTGCTGTGTTGGGAGCAAGCCCTCCAAAATCTGGCCATAAACAGAATCTCTGCAGCACTCTGACATGTTCATAATGGCCCTAACACCTGCGCTGGAAGGTTGTGGGTTTACAGGAATGAGGGCAAGGAACACCTGGCCCACCCAGGGCGGAAAACCACTTAAAGGCATTCTTAAGCCACAAACAATAGCATGAGCAATCTGTGCCTTAAGGACATGTTCCTGCTGCAGTTAACTAGCCCAACCTATTCCTTTAATTAGGCCCATCCCTTCGTTTCCCATAAGGGATACTTTCAGTTAATTTAATATCTATAGAAACAATGCTAATGACTGGCTTGCTGTTAATAAATACATGGATAAATCTTTGTTCGGGGCTCTCAGCTCTGAAGGCTGTGAGACCCCGATTTCCCACTTCACACCTCTGTATTTCTGTGTGTGTGTCTTTAATTCCTCTAGCACTGCTGGGTTAGGATCTCCCCAACCAAGCTGGTCTCCGCAAGTGACGTCCATTGTGGGGGCTTGAATCCAGGTCGAAGGGTCACCAGAGCAACAGTTAGAGAATGTGGAACTAGCTGGAGGACGCCAGAGTACTCTTAAAGCAATCCCCGTGGTAAGTAAGAAGGGGAGCTCGGAAGCATCAGGGTAACAATGGGACAAGTGTGGGCTCTGGTTCCTTCCACCTTGGAGCTTTTTCACACTGATGATGAGGAGGAAGGAGAGTACAGCAAAGTAACAGAAGAGGGTACAGAGCATGTTTATTTACCAGCTAAAGCTAAAGCGGCAAAGGAAGGAGAGGTTCATCCCTACCCTTCTGAACCCCCTCCTTATTATCTTGAAGAAAATGACCCTCCAGATCTTTCTTTTCTGGAGGACACTGGGCAAAAAGTAGTTGCCCCAGTGACTGTTCGAGCAGCGCCTTGAGCAACCCCTCTTAGTTCTATTCAGGCAGGAATTCAGCAAGCTAGACAAGAGGGTGATTTAGAGGCTTGGCAGTTCCCTGTTAGAATACACCCCCCAGATCAACAGGGAAATATTATAGCTACATTTGAGCCTTTTCCTTTTAAATTGGGGAAAGCATATTTAGTTGATTATATCAAGGCCTGTGATGGTATCAGAGGTAATCTGCATAAAGCTACTTTGTTGGCACAGGCAATAGCAGGACTGATAGTGGATAAAGGAAATACTCCATTTCCTGGAGCTTGTTTTAACTGTAGGAAGCATGGTCATACTGAAAAAGAATGTAGAAAAAATCAGCGAGTCAGGCCGCCAGATAGGGGAAAGAAGAAAACTGTTGAGCCTGAAATATGTCCAAAATGTAAAAAGAAAAACACTGGGCTAGTCAGTGTCACTCTAAGTTTGATAAAGATGGGAACCCAATTTCGGGAAACACCATGAGGGGCCCGTCCCGGGACCCGTTCTAAACCAGGGCATTTCCAGCTCAGGCCATTCCCTCACCCCTGTACAACGTCTGTCCCCCGCCACAGCCAGTAGTGCCACAGTAGATTTATGCTGCACAAAAGCTGTGAGCCTTCTGCCTGGAGAACCCCTGCAAAAGGTCCCAACAGGAGTCTGTGGACCCTTGCCAGCGGGGACAATAGGATTACTTTTAGGAAGGTGTAGTTTAAGTTTAAAAGGCGTACAAATACATACAGGAGTCATTGATTCAGATTACAATGGGGAAATTCAAATTGTTATATCTACTTCTGTTCCCTGGAAGGCAGAGCCAGGAGAGCGCATAGCACAGCTCCTGATTGTGCCATATGTGGAAATGGGGAAAAGTGAAACTAAACGAACAGGAGGATTTGGAACCACAAATAAACAAGGCAAAGCAGCTTATTGTGTGAATCAAATTACTGATAAACATCCTACCTGTGAAATAACTATTCAGGGAGAGAAATTTAAAGGTTTGGTAGATACAGGAGCGGACATTTCAATCATTTCTCTACAGCACTGGCCATCCGCGTGGCCAATTCAACCTGCTCAATTTAACATAGTTGGAGTTGGTAAAGCCCCTGAAGTATATCAAAGTAGCTATATTTTGCATTGTGAAGGGCCCGATGGAAAACCTGGGACTATTCAACCAATTATAACTTCTGTACCTATAAGTTTATGCAGAAGAGATTTATTACAACAATGGGGAGCACAAATTATAATTCCAGAACAATTATATAGCCCTCAAAGTCAACATATGATGCATGAAATGGGGTATGTCCCTGGTACAGGACTAGAAAAAAATTTGCAAGGTTTAAAAAGTTCCCGCCAAAGATTGGGATGTCATTTTTGATGGCAGCCATTGTTAAGCCTCCAGAACCTATACCTTTAAAATGGTTAACAGATAAGCCAATTTGGACAGAACAATGGCCGCTAAGAGAAACTGGAGGCTTTAGAGAAATTAGTTACTGAACAATTCAAAAATGGGCACATAGCTCCAACATTTTCCCCTTGGAATTCTCCAGTTTTCGTAATTAAGAAAAAATCAGGTAAATGGAGAATGTTAACTGATTTAAGAGCCATCAATTCAGTTATACAACCTATGGGAGCATTACAGCCAGAATTGCCTTCTCCTGCTATAATTCCAAAAAATTGGCCTTTAATAGTCATAGATTTAAAAGACTGTTTCTTTACTATCCCCTTAGCTGAGCAAGACTGTGAATGGTTTGCATTTACAATTCCTGCAGTAAACAACCTGCAGCCTGCTAAGTGTTTTCATTGTTTTACAGATGGGTCTAGTAATGGTAAAGCTTCTTATTCTGGCTTGAAAAGTAAAGTTTTTCAGATGCCCTACACTTCAGCTCAAAAAGCGGAGCTTGTAGCTGTAACTGAGGTATTGACTGATTTTGATATGCCTATTAATGTGGTTTCTGATTCCTCACATGTGGTTCATTCCACACAGTTAATTGAAAATGCTCAGTTACGATTTCAAAAAGATGAACAACTGATGACTTTATTTACCCAACTGCAAACAGCAGTTAGAAGTACAAAGCATCCTTTTTACATCAACTCACATTAGGGCTCATACACCTCTTCCAGGACCTTTGACCGAAGGGAATCAAATGGCTGATCGCCTAGTTGCTACTGCAATATCTAATGCTAGACACTTTCACAATTTAACCCATGTTAATGCCTCTGGTCTCAAACGCAGATACAGTATTACCTGGAAAGAAGCTAAAGCTATTATCCAGAGATGCCCAACTTGCCAAATGGCACATTCCTCATCTTTTACATGAGGAGTTAATCCTCGAGGATTGGAACCTAACTCTCTTTGGCAAATGGATGTCACACATGTTCCCTCGTTTGGGAGACTAGCTTATGTACATGTATGTGTGGACACCTTTTCTCACTTTGTCTGGGCTACATGCCAATCAGGAGAGTCTTCTGCCGGTGTTAAACGTCATCTTTTGCAGTGTTTTGCGGTGATGGGCATTCCAGCTTCTATTAAAACAGATAATGCCCCAGGCTATACTAGCCAAGATCTAGCTACATTTTTCTCTATGTGGAATATTGAACACATTAATGGTATCCCATACAATTCTCAAGGACAAGCCATAGTGGAAAGAATAAATCTCTCCCTAAAAGAGCAGTTGCAAAAGCAGAAAGGGGGAGACAGAGAATATGGAACCCCACAGATCCATCTGAACCTAGCATTATTAACTTTAAATTTTTTGACCCTGCCCAAAGGCCAGATGTTATCAGCAGCCGAACAGCATCTACAGAAACCACCTGCAAAGACAGAAACAGAACAACTGATTTGGTGGAGAGATCCAATAACAAAAAGTTGGGAAATAGGTAAAATAATAACTTGGGGTAGAGGTTATGCTTGTGTTTCTCCAGGCCAAAATCAACAGCCTATTTGGATACCACGAAGACACCTGAAACTTTATCATGAGCCAGATGCAGAGGAAGAGATTCCGGGATGATCCCGAGGACCCCCCTGGTTGCAGCCATGTCGAGACTGATGCTGAGGAGGACCCCACCTGTCACGAGCAACACCTGTTGAACACAGCCACCCAACTGGGGACAGATCAAGAAGCTGTCACAGATGGCGGAAGAAAACCTGAGGAAAGCGGGACAACCAGTCACAATGAGTAATTTAATGGTAGCTATGATAGTGGTTATCACCACTGCTGTGAGTATTCCTTCAACAAGGGCTGACACAGAGAACAATTACACTTACTGGGCATATTTATCAATCTTGGCTGGTAATAATGCCTGGATGTAATCACTATGACACAGTTACACATGTTTTCTGATCTCAGTTTTTACCATAATAAATTTGCTCCTATAATTGAGGCATACTGCCCTCAAAAACCTATTTGTAAACAAAATTGAACCTGGCCAGAAAAAAAGAATGTACTTGTTTAGGAAGATTGCATTGCAGAAGAGGCAGAGGTGCTGCACAACAATTCCTATGGAATCATTATTGATTGTCCCCTAAGGGGATGTTTAGCTTAAATTGCACCTCTCAGTCTGCGTGCCATGGCCACATTATGTTCAGCTGGTCTGAACAAAATGGTCAGATGGCAGAAATGATAAGAAGTATAGCAAGAGTTCCTATTATCTGGAATCATGGCGGTATAATGGCATCTCAACCTCAAATGATATGGCCCGTTGTAGGAGCTAAACATAAGGATTTGTGGAAACTTTTAAATGCTCTTAATAAGATAAAAATTTGGGAAAGAATAAAAAAGCATCTAGAAGGACACTCTACAAACTTGTTTTTGGATATCACAAAATTAAAAGAACAAATATTTAAAGCATCCCAGGCACATCTGACCTTAATGCCAGGAACTGGAGTGCTTGAAGGAGCTGCAGACAAATTAGCAGCTAGTAACCCATTAAAATGGATAAAAACACTTGGAATCTCTGTGATTTCAATGATGATTGTGCTTTTAATCTGTGTTGCTTGTCTTCGTATAGTCTGCAGATGTGGATCCTGACTCCTGCGAGAAGTAGCTCACCATGACAAAGCTGCCTTTGCTTTTATCAATTTGCAAATCAAAGAAGGGGGACATGTTGGGAGCAAGCCCCTCAAAATCTGGCCATAAACTGGCCCCAAAACTGGCCATAAACAGAATCTCTGCAGCACTCTGACATGTTCATAATGGCCTTAATGCCTGCGCTGGAAGGTTGTGGGTTTACAGGAATGAGGGCAAGGAACACCTGGCCCACCCAGGGCAGAAAACTGCTTAAAGGCATTCTGAAGCCACAAACAATAGCATGAGCGATCTGTGCCTTAAGGACATGCTCCTGCTGCAGTTACCTAGCCCAACCTATTCCTTTAATTTGGCCCATCCCTTCGTTTCCCATAAGGGATACTTTCAGTTAATTTAATATCTACAGAAACAATGCTAATGACTGGCTTGCTGTTAATAAACACGTGGGTAAATCTCTGTTCGGGGCTCTCAGCTCTGAAGGCTGTGAGACCCCGATTTCCCACTTCACACCTCTATATTTGTGTGTGTGTGTCTTTAATTCCTCTAGCGTTGCTGGGTTAGGGTCTCCCTGACTGAGCTGGTCTCGTCACTGCTGCTCATTTTTATATAGGTGTGTGTAATGATCAGGCTATGCAACTGATTATTTAGAAAGACACTTAAAAATGGTTTCTAATCTTTTGCTACCAAAACTGAATTATAACTCATGTTAAGATGCAGCGGGACATAGTAAAAATATGTTCTTTTAAAATTTATTAAGTATTTTAAATGTATTGAAAGTGAAAGTACACCTTGTCAAAATTTCTGGGATGCAGTGAAAGCAGTGCTTTGAAATTTATAGCACTGAATGCAAATATTTAAAAAATAAAATCAATAATATTCCACTTTAAGACACTAAAGAAAGAGCAAAATAAACCTAAATTAGTCAAAAGAAAAATCGAAACAATTGCACCGCAAATAAATGAAACTGAAAATAGAAAATCAAGAGAAAAATCAATAGAACAAAAACTGGTTGTTTGAAAAAGATTAATAAAATTAATAAATATTGTCAGGATAACCAAGAAAAAAAGATTTTAAAAAAAGACAAATATAAAAAATGAATGACAGACCAGCATTCCTGACCCCATGGGCATTAAAAGGATTACAAAAAAAAAATACTGCCGGGTGTGGTGGCTCACGCCTGTAACCCCAGCACTTTGGGAGGCTGAGGTGGTCTGATCATGAGGTCAGGAGATCGAGACCATGGTGAAACCCCATCTCTACCAAAAATACAAAAAAATTAGCTGGGCTTGGTGGTGGGCACCTGTAGTCCCAGCTACGCAGGAGGCTGAGGCAGGAGAATGGCATGAACCCAGGAGGCGGAGCTTGCAGTGAGCCAAGATCACGCCACTGCACTCCAGCCTGGGCGACAGAGTAAGACTCCGTCTCAAATAAAAAAAAAAAAAAGAATACTATAGACAGCTGTATTCCCATAAATATGATAACCCAGATCAATGGAACCAATTCCTTCAGGCACAATCCACCAAAACCCACAAAAGGAGATAATACTGTATCTATTAATGAAATGGAATCAGTATTTACCTAGTAACCTTCAGAAAAACTTATGTTCAACCATGTTAACTTATTTTAACTAGTGGGGTTCAGGGGCTCCCACTTTGTCAAGAACATGTAGAAGTAGCAAACAACTGTATTACTCATTGGATCAGGGAATCCATGTCAACTACGGTCTATCATAGCACAATGGGTGCTATGACTGTGGAGAATTTAGGCTACATGATACTGGTTTTTTTAATTAAAAGATAGCATTCCTGTTTTATATACAGTAATTCCCTCTAAGATCATAGGGGAACTGTAGTTAAATGTTGTGGCATCACCAGTATAATTCTTTTGTAACCTGTATTGATTAAGGACATTAAGGTTTCCCAATTGATGCATTTCAACAGATTTTTAAATTAATTCATAGGCCCTCTCCCTCTCCCTCTCCCCACGGTCTCCCTCTCCCTCTCTTTCCACGGTCTCCCTCTGATGCTGAGCCGAAGCTGGACTGTGCTGCTGCCATTTCGGCTCACTGCAACCTCCCTGCCTGATTCTCCTGCCTCAACCTGCCCAGTGCCTGCGATTGCAGGCGCGCGCCGCCACGCCTGACTGGTTTTCATATTTTTTTGGTGGAGACGGGGTTTCGTTGTGTTGGCCGGGCTGGTCTCCAGCTCCTAACCGCGAGTGACCCGCCAGCCTCAGCCTCCCAAGGTGCCGGGATTGCAGACGGAGTCTCGTTCACTCAGTGCTCAATGGTGCCCAGGCTGGAGTGCAGTGGCGTGATCTCGGCTCGCTACAACCTCCACCTCCCAGCCGCCTGCCTTGGCCTCCCAAAGTGCCGAGATTGCAGCCTCTGCCCGGCCGCCACCCCGTCTGGGAAGTGAGGAGCGTCTCTGCCTGGCCGCCCATCGTCTGGGATGTGAGGAGCCCCTCTGCCTGGCTGCCCAGTCTGGAAAGTGAGGAGCATCTCTGCCCGGCCGCCATCCCATCTAGGAAGTGAGGAGCACCTCTTCCCAGCCGCCATCCCATCTAGGAAGTGAGGAGTGTCTCTGCCCGGCCGCCCATCGTCTGAGATGTGGGGAGCGCCTCTGCCCCGCTGCCCCGTCTGGGATGTGAGGAGCGCCTCTGCCCGGCCACGACCCCGTCTGGGAGGTGAGGAGCGTCTCTGCCCGGCCACCCCGTCTAAGAAGTGAGGAGACCCTCCGCCCGGCAGCCGCCCCATCTGAGAAGTGAGGAGCCCCTCCGCCCGGCAGCCACCCCGTCTGGGAAGTGAGGAGCGTCTCCGCCTGGCAGCCACCCCGTCCGGGAGGGAGGTGGGGGTCAGCCCCCGCCCGGCCAGCCACCCCTTCTGGGAGGGAGGTGGGGGGTCAGCCCCTGCCCGGCCACCCGCCCCGTACGGGAGAGAGATGGGGGTTCAGACCCAGCCCGGCCAGCCGCCACCTCCAGGAGGGAGGTGGGGGGTCAGCCCCCACCCGGCCAGCCGCCCCGTCCGGGAGGGAGGTGGGGGGTCAGCCCCCGCCCGGCCAGCCGCCCCGTCCTGGAGGGAGGTGGGGGGTCAGCCCCCGCCCGGCCAGCCGCCCCGTCCAGGAGGTGAGGGGCACCTCTGCCCGGCCGCCCCTACTGGGAAGTGAGGAGCCCCTCTGCCCGGCCACCACCCCGTCTGGGAGGTGTACCCAACAGCTCATTGAGAACGGGCCATGATGACAATGGCGATTTTGTGGAATAGAAAAGGGGGAAAGGTGGGGAAAAGATTGAGAAATCGGATGGTTGCTGTGTCTGTGTAGAAAGAAGTAGACATGGGAGACTTTTCATTTTGTTCTGTACTAATAAAAATACTTCTGCCTTGGGAAAAAAAAAATTAATTCAGAGGCCATTTTGCAGAAGCATATAACCTAATCAGCACCCAATTATCTAGTTTTATATATTATTTAGTAAACTTCAGATTCCCAATCGGGTCAAATTGTAAAACTTTCTCTTGGGTAGGAACTCCTTTGAGGCCAGTGGGTGAATGTCTGTGTACCCTATTCATATTTATCAATGTATTCTTCCAGAAAGGCTAAAACCAACATTGCCATTGTTGCATGTCTCCTACAAGGTAATAGCTGTGTTGGTGGGGTTCAAGAATTCTAGGTTTGGCTGGGCACAGTGGCTCACACCTGTAAATCCAGCACTTTGGGAGGCCAAGGTGGACAATCACGAGGTCAGGAAATTGAGACCAGCCTGGCTAACAAAGTGAAACTCCATCTCTACAAAAAATGCAAAAACAAAATTAGCCGGGCATGGTGGCGGGCGCCTGTAGTCCCAGCTACTTGGGAGGCTGAGGCAAGAATGGCATGAACCCGGGAGGTGGAGTTTGCAGTGAGCCGAGATCGTGCCACTGCACTCCAGCCTGGGCGACAGAGCAAGACTCCGTCTCAAAAAGAAAAAAAAAAGAATTCTAGGTTTATGTTTGAATTAACTCCTTTGCTGTGTCATATGGGTACCATGGTTGTTTCTCCCCAAAGCAGGCTCACTGTGTACTGTTATCAGCTTGTCTGAGTATGATGAGAGAGAACACATTCATGCACATATTACATAAGTTGATTTATTACTTATAAAGGGATCGAAGATGAGAAGTCTAAAATTCAGTGTGATGTGGTCCCCCTGAGGTTCAGAGAAGTTGCCTGGAAGGATGGAATTTTGATTGCATGTGCCCCACTTGCAACACAGTTAAGAGACTCCAGAAAATAGCCCAGCCCAGGTTTTATAGCCCAGGATCACCTGACTCACTGACCAAAAGTGTTGAGAGATTGTATTTCTTGTGAAGACTGTTAAGTCTGGGCTGTTCTACCATTCTCTTCTGATATCAGGATATTCCATTCCCAGCACATTCTACACTTATTCTTGAAAACTGCAAGTAAGAAAGAGGGTAGAACCGGACCAGTCCAATAAAACTTGGAGGACAGTTCTGAATCCTTAACAGTGAGGGATCAGGATATTTGTTGTGATAGAAACATAGGCAGTAGCAGTACAGAAATTTCAGTGTCCCAGTTGGCCATCTGCTATTAGGTTTCTGGACCACAGCATGACTCATGACTGCTTTTGTCTTCTTTCTATAAAAACTGCTTCAGACTATCTTTTAATTCTTCTCATGCAAAGTAGCAGCATTTGATTTATCGGTAGTGTGGGCAATCTGTGTGGTTAAAGAAAACAGTTCAGGAGTCCGTCAACCCACATTGAAGAACACCTAATCCTCCAGTGAGTGCCACTCAATCTTGCTGGTGTTAGCAACATACAGTAAGGTCATTTTGACTAAGGTCATCTAGGTTGCAAGGTTAGGCCTTTGGCATGCTGATCAGTAGTGCTAAAAGAAGCCCATATACTAGATAGAGGTTCTGCAATGAAAGAGGCTAATGCCAAATGCTTCCTCCCCTTTTCTTGACTCATCAGTGCCTGGACCAAGAGGCACCATGGATGTGCACCTCATCAGAAGAATGCACATAAAAGCAACAGCACAAGAAAACACTCAAGGCCACTAGTCTTGCACAAGTCATCTTGTTACACAATTAGGTGACATGCTTAATTCTCCCCAGCATGGGGACATTCTTCCTTTCTGCAACTTCACACACACAAAATCCCTGGAGCTGTCCCAAGTGTGTACAGTAATAACGTTCACATGGCTACTCCAAGCATCCAGTGATGGCAACCAAACGAGATGCAGTTACCACAGAGCAGTAGTCTGACTTTTGATAATCAGGAATAAAGAACCCAGTGGTGAAGGTGCTGGGTCACTGCCTCAATGTGGGGTACCTTGGAAACTGCCTGCCAAACACAGGTCAAGGTGGAACATACATCCTCCTGGGGAACGGCTGGTCAACCAGTCATGTCTAGGAGTTGAGAGTTCTACTGTGGGAAGAGGTGGCAACAGCTGATAACACAAAGCACTGTGTAGACCAAAGTGAAAGTCCACCATCAATTGCTGTTTCTAATTCAGGTGACTTCTGTTATATTATGGAACCAGTTAGACAAAAGCAGGTAGTTAAAGCTGAAAAGATATCATCAGTCATGGTTGGTTCATTCTGTTGGTAATGCCAATTGTTTTCACAGTCTCATGGGTGACAGGAAAAATTAGGACCCTAAGACTACTGGGAAAAACACGTGACACCCATGAGTGTACAGATAAGATTGAGAGAAGTTATTAGTTACATACATTCATAGACAAAAAAGGGAGGGTTCTGTAAACGAGGCTGGTCCACACAAGACTTGCACTACGGAGCAGATAGAACAAACAGGGTGTAAGGGGAATGCTTTGTAGTATCAAGAACGTGAGATGCTTCTTGGTTCTCATAAGGATGCAATTGGTTTGTTTAAATGCATCTGTGGAATGGTAGGCAACTGAAATATGTTAGGCTACAGACTGATAAGATCAAAATAGTATGTTATAATGCCATAATCCTGTAATATACAATTTATTGTAGTGCTAATTACACATAATATAAACTAGTTATGCATAATTCATAGTAACTTACAAAACTGTACTATACCACATATTATATAGCTACTTATACACATATAAGTATACATGTAGACATGCTATATATACAGATGATGCTATACTATATGGTATACTAGGGCACACCAATTTGACTATAAATGCAAAAGGCCCCAACAATACACTGGAAAATTGAACGTTATCAATATGGGTTGAGTGTTTCTTATCTGAAATACTTGGGAACGGAAGTGCTTTGGATTTCAGACTTTTAACATTTTGGAATATTTGCAGAAAACTTACTGGATGAGCATCCCTAATCCAAATATCAAAAATCCTCTAATGAGCATTTCTGTTGAGCATAAGACTGGTGCTCAAACAGTTTTTGACTTCGGAGCATTTCAGATTTGGTATTGGAATCTGGGGTTTACAGATGTTCAACCTGTAGATAAAATACTTATATTCCATGATGAAGACAAATTTCACCCAGATAACCATAATATATTTATATCTGAAAGCCAGTTAACGTAATAGACTATCAGTAGAATGCCAAAAACCACAAATCATCTCAATAGATGCAGAAAAAAACATGTCATAAGAGTTCAACACTCCTTTACCATGAAACAATAAATAAAAAACACAAGAAAACTTCCTGAGCCTGTTTGAGAATATTTATGAAAAATCCACAATATACTTGATGGTGAGACTGAATGCTTTCACACGCAGATTAGACAAGCATACTGTCCAATCACAGTTCTCTCTTCTTAATTCAAAGTAAAAAGTGGGCCAGGTGTGGTAGCTCATGTCAGTAACCCCAACATGTAGACAGGCTGAGGCAGGAGGATAGCTTGAGGCCAGGAATTCAATACCAGCCTAGACAATACAGCGAGATCCCATCTCTATAAAAAATTTTTAAAATTATATAATTAGCTGAGCATGGTGGCATGTGTCTGTAGCTCCAGCTACATAGGAGGCTAAGGTGGGAGAATCACTTGAGCCCAGGAATTTGAGGCTGCAGTGAGCTAAGACTATTATTACCACTACACTTCAGCCTAGCTGACAAAGTGAGACCCTCTCTAAAAACATAACATTTTTTAAAAAAGTGAACTATGCAAGTAACAGCCAAAACTCATGACAGAATAAAGGAAAGAAAATGAAAATAACAATGTACATGAGACTATATAAACTTCACATACATGCAAATTAATAACAATTCTTTATTAGCAAAGAAAACAGAAGAAAATCTTTACAACAAAAAAGTAGTTTTCCCATAAAAAGGTAGAATACACACACACACACACACACACACACACACACATGAACTCATTTTTCATTGGTCCATTAATTAGAGAACAATTAAACAACTACATGAAAATTAAAATTGCCTACTATTAGAAATACATTTCAACTTAGTCTAGGGATCCAACAAATTTTTAAATGAATAGACAAAAATTATGTTAACTGATGAGAAACAAAACACAGCCTATTAAGCTCATGTACTATGGCTTATAAAGTATCTGTGAAATTCTCAGCTCCATGATTCCCTGCAAAAAACTGAAAATCTAAAGTATAGACACCTTCTTTAACAATGAACCACTGATAAAAATATATTTGAAAGCGGCTGGGAAAATAAAGTGTTCTAACACATTTTTCGTATTTTATGACGTTCTTTCCCAGGACGGGTCCTTCTAAGTTTTAGAAGGGAACTAGGAAAATTGCATACATTCTAATCTTCCTTACATGTGTTGGGTTTCTCTCTAATTTGAGTTTTTAATTTTTTCACGTGTTCTAATGAAACTAGAATAACTGAAAGCTTTAACACACTTCTTACATTGACAGAGGTGTTTTGTTGTTGTTGTTTTTTACCACATATAAGCTCTTTCATGCTTTCGAAGGGAACTGGAACAACTGAAGGCTTTACCACATTTCTTACATTCATAGGGTTTTTCTCCAGTATGAGTCCTTTCATGGCTTCGAAGGGCACTGGAAGAAGTAAACGACTTACCACATTCCTTACATCCATAAGGTTTCACTCCAGTGTGAGTTCTTTCATGCTCACATAGGTTACTAGAATATTTGAAGGCTTTACCACATTGTTTACATTCATAGGGCTTTTCTCCACTGTGAGTCCTTTCATGGACTCTGAGGACTCTGGAACATCTAAAGGCTTTGCCACATTTTATACATTCATAGGGTTTTTCTCCAGTATGCGTTCTTTCATGTATTCCCAAGTAAGTGGAACGACTGAAGGCTTTGCCACATTCCTTACATTCATAGGGTTTCTCTCCAGTATGAGATCTTTCATGTTGGCGAAGAGAACTGGAAAAAGTGAATGATTTACCACATTTCTTACATGCATAGGGTTTCTCTCCAGTATGAGTTCTTTCATGTTCACGAAGATAACTTGAATAATTGAAGGCTTTATCACAATGTTTACATTTATATGTTTTCTCTCCAGTGTAAGTGCTCTGAGGCATTTGAAATACACTAGGAAAATCAAAAGGCTTCTCATACACTGGACCCTTATAAGGCCCATTACTAGTGTGTGTTACCATGTGTCTGTCAACACTGGTGAGAGAGATAAAGGCTTTCCCACATTGTTTGCAATGATATAACTTCTCTGGACATTCCTCACACTCAAATAGTTTGTTTCCAATGTGAGACAGGATGTGCCTATGAAGGGCTGAATGACATATGAAGACTTTTCCACACACACTGCATTCACATGGCTTTACTCCAGTAGAAACTTTCTTATTCAGATTCAAATTTGAATCCTGGCTGAAGGTTTCTCCATATTGACTGCCTTCTTTAATTTCAAACAGTCTCTCTACCACATGACTGCTGTAAAAATGATAAACATCATTAATGGTACATTTATTCATGGTTTACATTGCTACTAATACCATGGAAAATGCAAGTTTCCTGCCATATCTAAATTGTTTTAAAGTAAATAAATTAATTACTGTAAGATATGGGTCCCCCATAGCTATTATCATTATTATCATAATTGTGATAGTCACATGTACAGTATCTTGGTGGTGTTTCCAAGTAAAATATTCTGAAAATATTGAACATCAATGTTACATTCAGGTGTATTTTTTGCTAAGACTTTTCTGGAAAAAAAAAATTTCTAGTGGTTCTTAGTTGTTTTGTCTGTTTTAAAAACTTATGACATGCTAAGATTCCCTCAAGGGGCATTTTTGCTCTTGTGAATGCAAATTACCTTAGATTTCTCCCAGGATTTTTGAAGTCATCTTGGATATTCTGGTCTTCTGATTTGTTTCCTAAAAGGTACAACCATAAGATTATTCAAATGATTAGAAACTTTAAAAATTGCTAGATTCAAGGTTCACTATACACTGTGACCATAACTAATTTTTTTCACCAAAGTACTCCCTTTCCACATGCCAAATCAGGAAACATTCATAACCAAGAAACACTTGTTTTCTTCTTCTTTTCTTTTTTCTTTCTTTCTTTTTTTTTTTTTTTTGAGACAGATTGTTTCTTCGTTGACCAGGCTGGAGTGCAGTGGCTCAATCTCGGCTCACTGCAACCTCCACTTCCTAGGTTCCAGCAATTAACCTGTCTCAGGCTCCCAAGTAGCTGGGATTACAGGCGCCTGCTACCACGCCTGGCTAATTTTTTTATTTTTTTGGTAGAGATGGGGTTTCACCATGTTGGCCAGGCTGGTCTTGAACTCCTGACCTCAGGCGATTCACCCGCCTTGGCCTCCCAAAGTGCTGGGATTACAGGTGTGAGCCACCACGCCCAGCCAAAACACTTGCGTTGTAATCAACTACGTGAATAAGTGTTGTTATTCTTACCTACAGAAGCCAGGTTCCTGAAGATTTCTTGCATCACATCTCTGTAGAGATTCTTTTGAGAAGGATCCAGCAAAGCCCACTCCTCCTGAGTAAAGGCCACAGCCACATCTTCAAATGACACTGAATCCTAGAATATCGCACATATGTGGAGAGGAGGATGGCTTAGACAGACAGTACTAAGAATCTATACTCATCTCATAAAATCGTAACATAATTCTGCAGACTTCAAACATTTCTTCCATGACCTGGTCATCAGAACTTTACTCTCTGTCTGCACTTACTGCTGCCCACTCAACATTCTTCATGCTAAAATGAAACTATTCAGAAAGTCAACAGCAGAGTAGGAACACCTGTCTCATTGGCAGGTGCAGGGAATAAACTGTGCTGTAAGAAATGAGGTCACCCCTAATTTCTATGTGTAGATTTTATCTTAAGGGCCTCTCATAACGAAGTCATGCTATTTGTTGTGTATAACAGTTAGTATTAAGTCTTAAGACTACATATCCTTAGAAATACCTGCTCACAAAGTCTGACCTTTTGGTGTGAGAAAATAGATTTTTTTGACGGATCTCATCACCCTAAGTGAGTGGTTCACAATATGTAAACAATCTTATGCAAACAATATATTATTCGCTGAACTCCAGTTTTGTTTTGTTTCTGAAAGCCTACTACTTTACTCCATTCTTGCAGTGGTACCTAGGGGATCAGCTCTGAAAAACACTCTGAGCATTAAGTCTCTAATGAGCATTCTTGGTAAACAATATTTCTCATATGCTGTTACAACTTGTTAACTGGAGAAATGAGGCATCAACGTGATTATAATAAGAAAATATTTGGAAGCTTGCAAGTAGTTTACTCCAGACCAAATTAAACCCAGTTGTAAATAAGACTGATAATTTATCTTTAATAACAAACAAAACAATTTTAAAATTTCTATTGGATAACAACAAAGTGCAATGGAGTAAGTGGAAAGATAGTACGTGTGCTTAGAAGAAACTCAATGTCATCAAGATATCACCTCTTTCAAATAGCCTTAAAAAATTCCATCAATCCCCAAAACAGACACTTTATTAGCAACTGAAAACTACTTTTCCAAACCTAACAAAAAAAAAATGTCTAAGAATTGTCAAAGTCTTCCAAACAATAGGGCAATGGCTTCCTTACCATGTATCAGAATTTTCAAACTATAATATTCAGGACAGTATTAATGTGGAGATAAACAAATAGTCCAAAAGGGAAAAAAGTTTTAAATAAGCAGGAATTTATTTTTATTTTATTTTTTTATTTTATTTTTTTGGTGAGATGGAGATTTACTCTTGTTGCCCGGGCTGGAGTGCAATGGCGTGATCTCGGCTCACCACATCCTCCGCTGCCTCCCAGGTTCAAGCGATTCTCCTGCCTCAGCCTCCCGAGTAGCTGAGATTACAGGCATGTGTCACCACGCCCAGCTGATTTTGTATTTTTAGTAGAGACAGGGTTTCACCATGTTGCCCAGGCTGATCTTGAACTCCTGACCTCAGGTAATCTGCCTGCCTTGGCCTCCCAAAGTGCTGGGCTTACAAGCCACTGTGCCTGGCCTGTAAGCAGGAATTTTGTATGTAAAGTTCATTAATGACAGAGCATTCCAGAATAGTGGAAGAAATCAAAAGCACTTTAAAACATACAGTAGAGCAAATTGGTACTAACTGAAAAAGTACATTGCATTCCCCTCTATTCCATGAACAATAATCAAGTTCTTTATTTCAAATATGAAAGACAAAACTAAAATACGTTCAGACTTCGAAGGAAAACAGGGGTATTTTTGGACAGAAAAATGGGCAGAATTCATTTAAACAGAAAAAAAGGAACTGGCAAATTCACATATATTAATATTCAGGAAATTAAAAGGCAAAAAGCAGTGGGAAAAAACTGTAATACATGCAATATAAAAGAATTAGTATGAAGTGTAAAAATGAACACGATTTAAAAGTGAGAAAATAAGCAAAGCATACTTAAAAGAAGATGAAAGACCACCTATTTTTTTAAAAAGTCAACTTCCTTGGTAATGAGAAAATAGAAAATAGTCAGGTATATGACATTTGAAATTGACTAGAAGAAAAAAATCAACTCCATGTGATGACGGCCATGGCAAACGGGTTACTCACGAAGGAAGGAGGAGTCAACTGATACCCTCCATTGCTCTAATTTGAACTTACCACAATGTGTAGCCCATTAATTTTTCTAAAATGTCCAGAGAATTTACGGTGCATTTGCACTTGGAGATGTGGCATAAAATCATAGGAGCATTATTTTTCCCAAAAGCAAAAAAATACAATTGAAAAAGCCCTCACATCAGAATCATTAAAATGGACGGCTGAATTAAATGGTCCACAGCCTCAGGCACTAGCATGTGTGAAACATACTGACACAAGGAAATCACCAATAAACCTTTTTGTTTTAATTCCATTCATACTCATTTTAGAAAGTTCAAGTAAAGCAAAATGGAACTGAAAAATTACAGATGATAAAAATGCAAAAAAGTAGCCAAACAATCACAACAGTGGTCAACTAAGAGATAAGTCTAGGTGGGAACCATCAGAAAACTCTTAATGACTGTAGGAGGCCCAGTTAAGAATCTTAATTATAATTTCCAAGTTGCTTCAACTATTGTTACTAAAACTCTTGACAAATGTTTTACTCATTCTTACTGTATTTCTTAATAGAAAACTTAAAAATTAATTAAAATGTAAAAGAACACAATTTTTATGTTTCTTTGCCTTATAACGTGATCTGAGTCGTGATTTACAGATTTCACAGAAATAAGTAAATTGAGCAGCACAGCTCACAGTGCTAGTTGCTCAGCAAGCAGCTAAAGTACACACCAGATACCAGGCGGCAGAACCGATTAGCAAGTCATTGCGAGAGAAGACAGAACCACATGGTGGTGGGCAATGTCTGAACATTCTGCTAGTGGTACTAAGTGCGATGGTCACGGGCAGAGATGTGTTTGGAAAGGGTAGGAAATTATTACTCAGAAAATTGACACTTGTGGATCCATTAGGTCAGGCCTTTCAAGGTGGTTTGATATGGTTTGAATGAGGAAGAAAAGGAGCCAGGCCTGTGTTTTCTGTTGAGGGTAGGTGGAAAGCTAGGATGAGAATTCAGTTTCAAGGGAAAAGATTTACATGGTTTCAATCTGCTGCCAAAACCCAGAGAGAGCACCCAGGCTTGTTTTCACCATATCCTGATGTGACGTCAGAAGTAGAAGAAAGTAAGTTTAGGATTAAAAGTTGACAGCAGTGAATTAAAGAAAAAAATGGAGACAGACACTTCTGATTTCCAGTAGAGCAAGTAGGCATAAAAGGCAATGGTCAAGCTTCCTAGGTTGAGTTCTGAGTTCCATGAAAATGTCTGACCCCACCACGCTGTCTGAGCTACTGAAATGTTATTACCAGAGGCTCTTTCCCTATTCTCTGTACTGTAACTGGCTCAACTACAGCAGAGTGATAAAGAATTACTCCCAACACTGTGAATTTTCATTCACATTGAAAGATGACATTACATTCGATACCAATCCTTCAACAACCAGAGTGATCTGGAAAAGGAGATGCAGAAAGTGAATCCATACAAGATTGATATAGGTGCAGTATATTCCCACAGACCCAATCAACACAATACAGTGAGGCTGGGAGCTTTCCAGGCTCAGGAAAAAGAACTGGTGTTTGACACTGACATGACAGACATGACAATGTGAGGAGATGCTGTAGTTCTGCAGATACATGTTCTACGTGCTGGACCCTCATGACAAGGGCCATACGCATCACTAACACAGCACTGAAGGAGGACTTTGGATTTAAGCATTGTCTCTGGGTATATTCTGGAAGGAGGGGTGTACATTGTTTGGTCTGTGATAAATCAGTTAGAAAACTGTCTTCGGTGGTATATTCTGGGATAGTTGAGTATTTGAGCCTTGTAAAGCATGGTCAAGATGTTAAAAAGAAAGTTCACCTAACTGAAAAAATTCACCCTTTTGTCAGAAAATCTATAAACATAATAAAAAAAACTTTGAAGAATATGCCTTGGTTAATCAAGATATTCTCAAAAATAACAAAAGCTGGGATAAGATTTTAGCCCTTGTTCCTGAAACAATTCAGGATGAACTTCAACAAAGCTTCCAAAAGTCTCACAATTCACTTCAGCATTGGGAGCACCAGCAGATGTCAGAATAACATCAAAAATCAAAATGTGGATCCTGGCTGCAGTGGGAGATTATGCTCCAGGACTGTTTCCACGATGGGGTATCAATGTCAACAAAGAAATCAATCATTTACCGCAGAGCCCTTTTAGCGTTCATCCTAAAACAGGTCGCATTTCTGTGCCTACTGATTTGCAGAAACTGGATCGGTTTGATCCATTTACTGTTCCAACCATAAGCCTCATCTGCCATGAACTGGATGCCATTTCCACTAATGAAGAGGAAAAAAGGAGAATTAAACTGAATCTGATATTAAACATAGAACCAGAGATATAAGACCAGTCTAGCACCTTATGTGAGTTTTTGAACAACTTCTTGAAAACCTGGGTAAACACCGAAAAAGAGAACTTCTTAAGAAGAGTGATTTACAAAAAGATTTCAGAAGACAATGCTCCTCAAACCAATGTGGGTATCTTCTGCCTTCAACCAAGGATCAAATGCTCCAAGAGCCATTTAACAAATACAGCAGAACTATGTATGTGTCTTAATGCTCAAAGTAAATTTTCCTTTGCTTGAGAAATAATTTATGTTGAAAAGATTTCCTGAGACCACCAAAGGAGACTGTCAAGGTTCACGGAAGGAGCAATAAAAGGAGAAATAATTGGAAAAAAAAAACCCCAAAAAACAAAGGCAACATTCAGGCTATTATTAGAGTCTTTAACAGATGGTGGCAAAGTAGCGCAGAAAATGGAGCACTTACACACTGCTGGTGGGAATGTAAATTAGTTCAGCCATTGTGAAAAGCAGTTTGAAGATTTCTCAAAAAACTTAAAACAGAACTACCTTTTGACCCAGCAATCCCATTACTGGATACACACCCAAAGGAATATAAGTTGTTCTACCAAGAAGACACATGTACCTGTATGTTCATCACAGCACTATTCACAATATCAAAGACACGGAATCAATCCAAATGCCCATCAATAGTGGACTGGATTTTTTAAAAAGTGGTACATATACACCATGGAATACTATGCAGCTATAAGAAATTAAATCATGTCCTGTGCATAAACATGGCCACAGCTGGAGGCCATTATCATAAGCAAATTAATGCATTGACAGAAAACCAAATACCACATGTTCTCATTTATAAATGGAAGCTAACTGTTGAGTATACATGGACACAAAGATGGGAGCAACAGACACTGGGGCCTACCTGAGGGGGAGAATGGGAGGAAAGTGAGAGTCAAAAAACTACCTATCAGGCACTATGCTCACTATCTATGTGACAAAATCATTTATGCAGCAAAACACAGAAACATGAAATTTACTCATGTAACAAATCTGCATATGTACCCCCCAGAACACAAAAGTTAAAAAAAAAAAGCAACATTCACATTCACAATAAAAGGCAAATAAATTTAACTAAACAATTCTAAGATTAACCATTAAAGAACTGAGTTCCCAGTAAAAACTACCAAACCAAATTAGAGAGACAGAGAGGCACATCCAGAGAATCGTAACTCACTTGATGAGAAAACCATAAGAATCCTCTAAGAGTAGCAGTACGTGTATAGGAAAAACCAAACTGAAATTGGTGAGCTGCTCAAGTTTGAGAACATCTCCTGGGTGCCCAGGCTTAGGGATCCCCAGTAATTTATGAGTTTTACATCCACAAACATTACCAGTTGATACGGTTTGGCTGTGTGTTTCCTCCAAATCTCATGTTTAAATGTGACCTCCAATGTTGGAGGTGGGCCTAGGGGAAGGCATCTGGGTCATGGAGGCAGATATCTCATAAATGACTCAGTGCTGTCCTTGAAGTAATGAGTTCTCTGTTGGTTCACAGGAGAGCCGGGTATTTAAGAGGCTGGACCTTCCTCCTCCTCTCTCTGACTCCCTCTCTCACCATGTGGCTTGCCTGTTCCCCCTCTGCCTTCCGTCTGAGGCATCACCAGAAGCCAAGCAGCTGCCGGTGCCATGCTTGTACAGCCTGCAGAACCGTGAGTCAAATAAACCTACTTTCTTTATAAACTACCCAGTCTTAGGTATTACTTTATATCAATGGAAAAATGGAATAATACATAAAATTGGCACTGAGGAGTGGGGTGTTGCTATAAAGATACCTGAAAATGTGAAAGCAGCTTTGGAACTGGGTAACATGCAGAAGCTGGAAGACTTTCAAGGGCTCAGAAAAAGACAGGGAGATGAGGAAAATTAGAACTTTTTAGAGAGTGGTTAAGTGATTGAAACCAAAATGTTGACAGAAATATGGACAGTGAAAGCCAGGCCAATGAGGTCTTAGATGGAAATGACAAAGTTTTGGTGAGCTTGAGCAAAGGTCACCCATGTTACACCCTGGCAAAGACTTGGCTGCATTGTGTCCAATGCCCTAAGGATTTGTAGGAGGTTTAATTTAGGAGTAATAACTTAAGAGTCTCCAGAGGAAGACATTTCTAAGCAGCAAAGGATTCAAGAGGTGGTATGGTCGCTTCTTTGCCCCCACAATCAGAAGTGATTTAAAGTTGAAACATGATTAAAAGAGAAGCAGAGCATAAAAGTTTGGAAAATGTGCAACCTGGCCCTGTGGTAAAGAGGGAATCCAAGCAGCCTGTGGAGCAATGACTTGTAAGAGAGAGTTGCACAACTAAAGGGGAGCCAGGTGCCAACAGCCATGAGGCTAAGAAAAAGACCTGTAATGCATTTCAGAAAACTGTGGCAGCCCCTCTCACCACAGGCTCAGGGGCCTAAAAGGAAAAAGTTTGGGGTACCAGGTCGAAAGCATCACTGCCCTGTGCAGCCTCAGGACACTGCTCCTTGCATTCCAGTAGCTCTGGTTCCAGCTTTGGCTAAAAAGGCACCATATACCACTTGGGCCACGGTTCCAGAGGGCACAAGCCATAAGCCTTGGAGGCTTCCGCTTAGTGTTAAGCCTGCAGGTGCATAGAATACAAGAGTTAAGGAAGCTTGGTAGCTTCCACCTAAATTTCAGATGTATCAGGAATGTAGGTGCCCAGGCAGAAGCCTGACATGAGTGGAACCCCACAGGCAGCCTCTACTAGGGCAGTGCCAAGAGAAATGTGAGGATGAAGCCCCCACACAGAGTCCCCACAGTGGCACTGCCTAGCGGAGCTGTGGAAACAGGGCTGCTGCTTTCCAGACCCCAGAATGGTACAGCCACAAGCAGAAAGCACTGTGAGCCTGGAAACGTTGCAAGCATTTGACTCTAGTATGTCAGAAGTCACATGGGCTGCATCCAGCAAAGCCACAGGAATGAGGTTGCCCAAGGCAACAGGTAAATACACCGGTTCCAAATGGAAGAAATGGCCAAAACAAAGGGGCTACAGGCCCCATGCAAGTCCAAAATCCAGCAGGGCAATAAAATCTTAATGCTCCAAAATGATCGCCTTTGACTCCATGTCTCACATCCAGGTCCTGCTGATGCAAGAAGTGGACTCTCATGGCCTTGGGCAGCTCCACCCCTATGGCTTTGCAGGGTACAGCCCCATTCCTGGCTGCTTTCACAAGGTGGCATTGTCTGTGACTTTTCCAGGTACACACTGTAAGCTGTCAGTGGATCTACCATTCTGGGTCTGCAGGATGGTGGCTCTCTTCTCACAGCTCCACTAGGCAGTGCCTCAATGGGAGCTTTGTGTGGGAATTCCAACCCCACATTTCCCTTCCACACTGCCCTAGCATAGATTCCCTATGTGGGCTACACCACTGCAGCAAACTTCTGCCTAGACATCCGTGTATTTCCATACATCCTCTGGAATTGTGGCAGAGGTTCCCAAACCTCAATTCTTAACTTGGCTTTGTGTGGGGATTCCAACCCCACATTTCCCTTCCACACTGCCTTAGCATAGATTCTCTATGTGGGCTACACCACTGCAGCAAACTTCTGCCTAGACGTCCATGTATTTCCATACATCCTCTGAAATTGTGGCAGAGGTTCCCAAACCTCAATTCTTAACTTGGCTTTGTGTGGGGATTCCAATCCCACATTTCCCTTCCACACTGCCTTAGCATAGGTTCTCCATGTGGGCTAGGCCACTGCAGCAAACTTCTGCCTAGACGTCCGGGCATTTCCACACATCCTCTGAAATCGTGGCAAAGGTTCCCAAACCTTAATTCTTAAAGTTTTCTGTACCCACAGGCCCAACACCAAGTAAAGGCTGCCAAGACTTGGGGCTTGAACCCTCTGAAGCAATGGCCTGAGCTGTACATTGGTCTCTTTTAGCCACAGCTAGGACACAGCACCATGTCCCAAGACTACAAAAAGCAGCAAGGCCCTGGGTCCCGGATCATGAAACCATTTTTTTCTCCTATGCCTCCAAGCCTGTGATGGGAGGGACTGCCGTGAAGACCTCTGACATGTCCTAAAGACATTTTCCCCATTGTCTTGGCAATTAACATTTGGCTCCTCATTACTTACATAAATTTCTGCAGCTGGCTTAAATTTTTCCTCAGAAAATGGGTTTTCTTTTCTATCACATCATCAGGCTGAAAATTTTCCAAACGTTTATGCTCTGCTTCTCTTTTAAACATAAGTTTCAATTACAGACCACCTTTTTTTGAATGCATAAAACTGAATGCTTTTAAGAGCACCCAAGTCACCTCTTGAATGCTTTGCTCTTTAGAAATTTCCTCTCCCAGATACCCTAAATCATCTCTCTCAATTTCAAAGTTCTGCAGATCTCTAGGGCAGGGGCAAAATGCTGCCAGTCTCTTTGCTAAAGTATAGCAAGAGTCACCTTTGCTTCAGTTCCCAAGAAGATCCTCATTTCCATCTGAAACCACCTCAGCCTGGACTTAACTGTCTATATCACTATCAGCATTTTGGTCAAAGCCATTTAACAAGTCTCTAGAAAGTTCCAAACTTACCCACATCTTCCTGTCTCCTTCTGAGCCCTCCAAACTGTTCCAACCTCTGCCTGTTACCCAGTTCCAAAGTAACTTCCACATATTCAGGTATCTTTATAGCACCACCCCACTCTCTACAGTACCAACTTACTGTATTAGTCCATTCTCACATTGCTATAAGAAAATACCTGAGACTGAGTAATTTGTAAGGGAAAGAGGTTTAATTGACTGACAGTTCCACATGGCTGGGGAGGCCTCAGGAAATACAATCATGGCAGGAGGCGAAGGGGAAGCAAGGCACCTTCTTCACATGGTGGTAGGAAGAAGAATGACTGAAGGAGAAACTTGCCAAACACTCATCAAACCATCAGATTTCGTGAGAACAATTACTTCCACCTGGTCTCTCAATTCAAGGTGAGACATTGGGTGGGGACACAGTCAAATCATATCACCATCTCAATGCCGCTCCTTGTTATTGGTCTGTTTAGAGTTTCTATTTATTTCTTATTTAATCTAGGAGAGTTTCATAATTCCAGGAATTCATAAATCTCCTCTAGGTTTTCTAGTTTGTGCACATAAAGTTGTTGAAAGTAGCCTTAGTAATCTTTTGTATTTCTGTTGTATTGTTTGTAATACCTCCTGTTTCATTTCTTTTTTTTTTTTTTTTTTGAGATGGAGTCTCACTCTGTCATCCAGGCTGGAGTGCAGTGGTGCAATCTCAGCTCACTGCAACCTCCACCTGCCGGGTTAAGTGATTCCCCTGCCTCAGCCTCTTGAGTACCTGGAATTACAGGAATGTGTCACCATGCCCAGCTAATTTTTGTATTTTTAGCTGGTCTCAAACTCCTGACCTCACGACCTGCCCACCTCGGCTTCCCAAAGTGCTGGGATTACAGGCATGAGCCACCATGCCTGGCCCTCCTGTTTCATTTCTAATTGAGCTTATTTAGATTTTCTCTCTTCTTTTCTTGGTTAATCTCACTAATGGTATATCAATTTTGTTTATCTTTTCAAAGAACCAGCTTTTTGTTTCATTTATCTTTTGTATTTTTTGTTTGTTTCAATTTCATTTAGTTTTGCTCTGATCTTTGTTAGTTCTTTTATTCTGCTGGGTTTGGATTTGGTTTGCTATTGTTCCTCTAGTTCTTTCAGGTGTGACCTTAGATGGTCTATTTGTACTCGTTCAGACTTTTTAATGTAGGCATTTAATGATACAAACTTTTGTCTTAGCACTACCTTTGCTGTATCTCAGAGGTTTTGATAGGTTGTGTCACTACTATCATTCTGTTCAAAAAGTGTTTAAACTTCTATCTTGATTTCATTGTTGACCCAACAGTCAGTCATTCAGGAGCAGATTATTTAATTTCCATGTATTTGCATGGTTTTGAGTGTTCCTTTTGGAGTTGATTTCCAATTATACTCCATTGTGGTCTAAGAGTGTACTTGATATGATTTTGATTTTCTTAAATTTATTGAGACTTGTTTTGTGGCCTATCATATGGTGTATCTTCAAGAATGTTCCATGTGCTGATGAACAGAATGCATACACTGCAATTGTTGAGTAGAATATTCTGTAAATATCTGTTAAGTCCATCTGTTCTATGATATAGTCAAGACCATTGATTTTTTTGTTGGCTTTCTGTCTTGACCTGTCTAGTGCTGTCAGTGGAGTATTGAAGTCCCCCACTGTTATTGTGTTGCCATCTATCTCATTTTTAGGTCTAGTAGTAATTATTCTATAAATTTGGAAGCTCCAGTGTTAAGTGCATATGGACTTAAGACTGTGATATTTTCCTGTTGGACTAGTCTTTTTATCATTACATAATGCTCCTCTTTCTCTTTGTTAATTGCTATTGCTTTAAAGTTTGTTTTCTCTGATGTAAGAATAGCTACTCCTGCTCCTGCTCCCTTTTGTTGTCCATTTGCATGGAGTATCTTTTTCCACCTCTTTACCTTAGGTTTATGTGAGTCCTTATGTGTCAGGTGAGTCTCTTGAAGACAGCTGATAACTTGGTTGGTGAATTCTTTTCTTCTTTTTTTTTTTTTGAGACAGAGTCTCACTCTGTCACCCAGGCTGGAGTGCAGTGGCACCATCTCAGCTCACTGCAACCTCCATCTCCCGGGTTCAAGCGATCCTCCTGCCTCAGCCACCCGAATAGCTGGGACTACAAGCATGCACCACCACGCCCAACTAATTTTTGTATTTTTAGCAGAGATGAGGTTTCACCATATTGGCCAGGCTGGTGTTGAACTCCTGACCTCGTGATCTGCCCGCTTCGGCCTCCCAAAGTGTTGGGATTACAGGCATGAGCCACCGTGCCCAGTGGTGAATTCTTATCCATTCTGCCATTTTGTATCTTTTAAGTGGGGGCATTTAGATCATTTACATTCAACGTTAGCATTGAGATGTAAGGTACCCTTCTATTAATCATGCTGCAAGTTGCTGCCTGAATACCTTGGTTTTTTTTCTTTTTTTTCATTGTGTTATTGTTTTATAGGTCCTGTGAGGTTTATGCTTTAAGGAGGTTCTATTTTGGTGTATTTTTTGAAGTTCTGTTTCATGATTTAGAACTCCTTTAGGCCAGGTGCGGTGGCTCACACCTGTAATCCCAGCACTTTGGGAGGCCGAGGCGGGTGGATCACGAGGTCAGGAGATCGAGACCATCCTGGCTAACATGGTGAAACCCCGTCTCTATTAAAAATACAAAAAATTAGCCGGGCGTGGTGGCAAGCGCCTGTAGTCCCAGCTACTTGGGAGGCTAAGGCAGGAGACTCCAGCCTGGGCGACAGAGCGAGACTCCGTCTCCAAGAAAAAAAAAAACAAAAAAAAAACTCCTTTTAGCAGTTGTTGTAGTGCTGGTTTGGTAGTGGTGAGTTCTCAGTATTTGCTTGTCTGAAAATAATTTTATTTTTCCTTCATTTATGAAGCTTAGTTTCACTGGATACAAAATTCTTGGCTGACAATTATTTTGTTGAAGGAGGCTAATGATAGAACCCCAATCTCTTTTAGCTTGTTGGGTTTCTGCTGAAAAATCTGCTGTAATCTGATAGGTTTTCCTTCCTAGGTTAAATGATGCTTTTGCCTCACAGCTCTTCAGATTCTTTCCTTCTTAATTTTAGATAACCTGATGAGTATGCATCTAGGTGATTATCTTTTTGTGATACATTTTCCAGGTGTTGTTTGAGCTTCTTGTATTTGGATGTCTAGATCTCTAGCAAGGCCAGGGAAGTTTTCCTCAATTATTTCCTCAAATAAGAATTCCAAAATTTTAGTTTACTCTTCTTCCTGAGGAAGACCTATTATTGCTAGGTTCAGAGGCTTTGTTCTTTTTTCATTTTTTTTTTTTTTTTGTTTTGTTGCATCGGGTTAATTTGAAAGCCTTGTCTTCAAGCTCTGAAGTTCTTTCTTACACTTGTTCACTTCTATTGTTGAAACTTTCCAGTGTACTTCACAGTTCTCTAAGTGTGTCATTCATTTCCAGAAGTTGTGATTGTTTTTTATTGATGATATGTGTTTGGAGATTTTTTCGTCCATGTCCTGTATTTTTTTTTTTTTTTTGTAATTCCCTTAAAGTGGTTTCCACCTTTCTCTGGTGCCTCCACGAGTAGCTTAATAATCAACCTTTTAAATTCTTTTCCTGGCAATTCAGAGATTTCTTCTTAGTTTGCATCCACTGCTGGGGAGCTTGTGTGATTTTTGAGGGTGTTAAAGAACTTTATTTTGTCATATTACCAGAATTGTTTTTCTGGTTCCTTCTCATTTGGGTAGACTATGTCAGAGGAAAGATCTGAGGCTCAAGGGCTGTGGTTCAGATTCTTCTGTCTCACAGGGTGATGCCTTGATGTGGTGCCCTCCCCGTTTCCCTAGGGATGGGCTTCCTGAGACCCAGAAGGCAGTGACTGTTATGGCTCTTCTAGGTCAAGCCACCCATTGGAGGTGCTGGACTCTGGGCTGGTACTGGGGAGTGTCTGCAAAGAGTCCTGTGATGTGATCTCTTCAGGTCTCTTGGCCTGGATACCAATACCTGCTTCATTGGATGTAGCAGGGGAGTCAGGTGGATTCTGTGAGGGTCCTTGCTTGTAGTTTTTTGGGTTTTTTTTTCGGTGCATTGTTTTTCTTGAATGCTAATTACGCTAGCAATGAACTTGTCATGTGGGCAGACTCAGAATCTCTGGTTAGCCAGGATGTTACAGGTGGTGGAATTAGCAGTTGTTTACTGCTTTCTTGGAGCAGGGTCATTCTGTTATGAGTTGCTATAATGGCTTGCGTTGGTTGGCCAGCAGCCAGGAGGTGGCACTTTCAAGAGAGCATCAGCTGCAGTAATATAGGGGGATATCAGCTTGCCCTAAAGTCACCTGAATAAGTATTCAGGTTTCTCAGGTAATGGGTGGGGTCATAGAGTTCTCAAAAAAGTATGTCTTTTGTCTTTGGCTACCAAGGTGGGTAGAGAAGAACCATCAGACTGGGGCAAGGTTAGATGTGTCTGAGCTCAGACTCTCCTTGGGAGAAGCTTGCTGAGGCCACTGTGGGAGATGGTGGTGTGGTATTCAGGCCAATGGAGTTGTTTCCAGGGGCACTATGGCTGCCTCTGCTGTATCATACAGGCTGCCAGGGAAGTGGGAGAAAGCCAGCAGTGACAGGCCTCACGCAGTTCCCATGCAGCCGGAAAAGCCAGTCTCACTCTCACCCCCAGCACCCGAGCTTATATGCAGGAAGCCAGTGAGAAGGGCTGCGATCTTGCCCCAGGCTACAAGCCTCCTCACTGAGAATGCAAGTAGGGCTTTTAGGCCCCACTCCATCCCATCTGCTGTGACTTCTGTCCCTGTATCTGCACTTCCCTTTCATCGACCCCCAGATTTTGCCCAGGAAAGTTCATGCTCAGTTGAAATTATTATAAAGTTCAGGCCGGCGCGGTGGCTCACGCCTGTAATCCCAGTACTTTGGGAGGCCGAGGTAGGTGGATCACGAGGTCAGGAGATAAGAGACCATCCTGGCTAACATGGTGAAACCCCATCTTTACTAAAAAAAATACAAAAAATTAGCCGGGCATGGTGGCAGGCGCCTGTAGTCCCAGCTACTCAGGACGCTGAGGCAGGAGAATGGCGTGAACCCGTGAGGTGGAGCTTGCAGTGAGCCGAGATCGTGCCACTGCACTCCAGCCTGGGCAACACAGCGAGACTCCGTCTCAAAAAACAAAAAACAAACAAACAAACAAAAATGGCAGGATCACATGGTCTCTTTGCCAACTTGGGTCACATTCTGAGAAATAAAACAGACGCTGAAAAATTTAAAAACAAAACAAACAAACAAAAAACCTAGTAACAGGAGAGTAGAGGAAGATGGCCAAATAGAAGGCTCCATCTGTCATCCATGCCCATAGGCACAACAAATTTAACAACTATCTACACCAAAAAAGAACATTCATAAGAACAAAAACTCAGACAAGCATACCTGCTTTTAACTTCTTATCACTGAAAAAGGCACTGAAAAGATTAGGTAAGAGTCCTGAATTGCCAACACCACCCTTCCTCCATTACCTGGCAGCAGCCGCATAGCATAGAGAATCTGTGTGACTGGGAAAGGTAGAGTACAGCAATTGTGCCACTTTGCATTGGAATGTAGTGCTGCCAACACCAGGCAGAACTCAGCTAACTTCAGCAGAGGAAACATTTAGACCGTCCTAACCAGAGGGGACTTGCCTATCCCAGTGGTTGGAATTTGAGTTCTAGCGGGCCTCAACACCAGGGGCTAAAGTGCTCTGCGGCCCTAAATACACCTGAAAGGCAGTCTAAGCCACAAGAATGGCAACTCCTGGTGCTGAGCTGGGCTCAGAGGCAGAGGACTTAAAAGGCACACAATCTACTGAGATGCCAGCTGGCATGGCTAAGGGCTTATACCATCCCTCCTTCAACCTCAAACAGCACAGCTCATGGCTCCAAAAGGGAACCCCCTTCCACCTGAGGAGAGGCGAGGGAAGAGTAAAGAGGACTTTGTCTTGCAACTTTGATAAGAGCTCAGCTCCAGTAGGATAGGGCACTGGGCAGGGTTGTGAGGCCCACATTTTAGGCCCTAGTTCCTGGAGGACATTTCTAGGCCTATGCTGGACCAGAAGGGAACCAAATGCCTTGAAAGAAAGAACCTAGTCCTGGGAAGACCCATTACTAGCTAATTTAAGATACAGTGGGCCCTG
The DNA here is from genome assembly GCF_000001405.40 of Homo sapiens. Classification (NCBI taxonomy): domain Eukaryota; kingdom Metazoa; phylum Chordata; class Mammalia; order Primates; family Hominidae; genus Homo; species Homo sapiens. Next base: position 247,054,639 of record NC_000001.11, read on the forward strand.
AATAACCACAATTGATATACAGGCAGTAAGCCACGGGCCTTTGGTGACATTCTGAGATGTGCTGGCTTCAAGTGAGACGTAGCACATTCCCAGTTGTGGTGACAACAGTGACAGACTCCTGTTTGAGAAAAGCAGAGTAAAAAGTAAAGGAAACTTTGAGCTATGCTTGTCTCAAATAATAATAATAATAATGAGTTATAAGACAGTATTTGCAAGCCTTCTTGTAACCTCAAATTTAAAAACATACAATGGATACATAAAATATAACAAGAAAGAAAGTAAATCATACCAAGGGAGGAAAAAAGGAAAACTAGTTGGGCAGACAGCTAAAAACTGGTCTTTGGTAAAACTCCTTTAAAGAAACTGCCTGAAAAAAATCAGGCTGCAGGCACAGATAAGGAAACTTGCACAAACCTCCAGCCCAATCAGATAAAGGAACAAGGCCCAACATAACAACACCTTTGTCCTTTGTGCCTAAGACATACCTCCAGCTACACTGATAAGGGAACAAGACCCAACACAGAAACACCTTTGTCCTTTGTATAACCAGCGGGCTTCCAGGAAATAGTCTCTTCCTTTGTGGGCACGTACATGGTGGGCTCTGGTGAGCACTTTCCTTTCCTTTTTTAGACACACTTTGTGTGAGCCAAGCCTCTATGAATCATCACTTCAGTCTCTGATTGGCCCCAGGCCAAGGTCCCAGGACAAGCTCTCACTTCAACTCCTGATTGGTCCCAGGCCAAGCAGAGTAGCACTTTCTTCAAGACCAGTCAGCACCTTCCTTCCCTTCCTGGTCCATAAAAATCCTGGAGCCAGCCTCATATTTGGCAACCCATTCAGACCCCCTTCTCTGCTGCAGAGAGCTTTCTTCTTCCACTTATTAAACTTTCACCCCAATCTCACCCTTTCTATACACGCTCCTTAATATTCTTGGTCATGAGACAACTTCCAGTGATACTGCACAACTAGAGACTGCTACATTGTGGTGCATTGGTGAGACTGTAACAATACCACCAGGAAAAATCACCTTCACTGAATAACACTGAGTTTAACGGAACTAAATTCTCCCATCAAAAGATGCTGAGTGCTTCAATGAATATAAAAAAACAAGACCCACTGACTGGCTGCCTAACATACTTCACCTATCAAGACACATACAAACTGAAAACAAAGGGATAAAAAAGGATATTCCATATCAATAGAAACCAAAAAAAGAATAGCTATACTTATATCAGATGAAATAAATTTCAAACAAAAACTATAAAAAGAGACAAAGAAGTCACTACATAATGATATGTATGTGCTGATATCCAATTCAGCAAGAGGATATAACCATTTTCAATATATATGCACTCAATACTGAAGCACTCAGATATATAAAGCAAATATTAATAGAGCTAAAGAGAGAGAGACCCCAAAACAATAACAGCTATAGACTTCAACACCCTACTTTTAGCATTAGACAATCTTACAGACCAAAAAAAAAAAAAAAATCAATAATGAAAACACTGGAATTACTCTGCACTGTAGACCAAATGGCCCTAATAGATACTTACAGAACATTTTGTCCAACAGCTTCAGAATACACATTCTTTTCATCAGAACATGAATCATTCTCAAGGATAGACCATATGGTAGGTCACAAAAAAGTCTTTAAAACATTCACCAGAAAAAATTGAAATAGTATCAAGCATCTTCCCTGACCGCAAAGGATTAAAACTAGGAATCAATAACAAGACAACTTTTGTAAACTCTACAGATCCACGGAAATTAATATGCTCCTGAATGAGTCATGAAGAAATTTAAAAGGAAACTGAAAAACTTCTAAAAACAAATGATAATGGAAATACAACATACCAAAACCTGTGGGATAAAGTGAAAGCAATACTAAGAGGGAAGTTTATAGCTGTAAATACCTACATCAAAAAAAGAGTAATTTCAAACAACCACCTAATAACGCATCTTAAAAAACTAAAAAAGAGGTTGAGCACGGTGGTTCATGCTTGTAATCCCAGCACTTTGGGAGGCTGAGGCAGGCGGATCATCAGGTGAGGAGTTCGAGACCAGTGAACTCAGTTTTGACAAAGGTACCAAGAACACACACTGGGGAAAGAACAATCTCTTCAATAAATGGTGCTGGAAAAACTGGATATCCACATGTAGAAGAATAAAACTAGACCACTATCTCTCACCATATAAAAACAAAATCAAAATGGATTAAAAACTTAAATATAAGTTCTCAAACTATGAAACTACTACAAGAAAGCATTGGGGAAACTCTTCAGGACATTGAACTGGGCAAAGATTTCTTGAGTAATACCCCATGAGCACAGGAGACCAAACCAAACATGGACGAATGAGATCCACATCAAGTTAAAAAGCTTCTGTGCAGCAAAGGAAACAATCAACTAAGTGAAAAGACAACATACAGAATGCAAGAAAATATTTGCAAACTACTCATCTGACAAGAGATTAATAAACAGAATACATAAGGATTTCAAACAAATACAGGAAAAAAAATTCTAATAATCTCATCCAAAAATGGGCAAATAATCCAATCCAAAAATGTCTCAAAAGAAGACATACAAATGGTAAACAGGTATATGAAAAGATGCTCAGTATCACTGATCATCAGAGAAATGCAAATCAAAATCATGATGAGATATCTCATTCCCATTAAAATGGCTTTTACCAGGCAACAATTGCTGGAGAGGATGTAGAGATAAGGGAACCCTGGTATAGTGGTTGTGGAAATGTAAATTAGTACAACCACTCTGGAGAACAGTTTCAAGGTTCCTCAAAAAGTAAAAATTGAGCTACCACATGATGACGGCAATCCCACTCCTAGGTATATATCCAAAGAACAGGAGATCAGTATATTGAAAACACATCTGAACTCCCATGTTTACTGCAGCACACAATAGCCAAGATTTGGAAGCAACCAAAGTGTCCATCAACAGAAGAATGGATGAAGAAAATGTAGCACATATACAAAATGATATACTATTTAGCCATAAAAAAAGAATGAGATCCATTCATTTGCAACAACACGGATGAAACTGGAAGTCATTGTGTTAAATGAAATAAGCCAGGAAAAGAGACAAACTTCACATGTTCTCACTTACTTGTGAGAACTGACAATTAAAATGACTGAACTTATGGAGATAGAAAGTAGAAGGATGGTTACCAAAGGGTGGGAACAATAGTGGAGGAGGTGGAGGGGATGTGGGAATGTTTAATGGGTACAAAAAAAATAGTTAGAAAAAATAAACAAGACCTTGTATTTTGCTAGCAAAACAGGATGATTACAGTCAAATATAACTTAATTGTACATTTTAAAATAAGTAAAAGGTTATAAACAGTTTGTAACACAAAAGATAAATGTTTAAAGTTATAGATACCCCATTTACCCTGGTACAATTATTATGCATTGCATGCCCGTATCAAAATATCTCATGTAACTCATAAATATATACACCTAGTATGTACCCACAAAAATTAAAAACTAAAACAAAATAAAACTAGTGAACATATAAAATATGCCCTAAGAACATAATTGGAATTAAACTAGAAATCGATAACAGAAATATACTTGAAAAACATCCAAATAATTGAAGATTAAACTGCAAAGTTCTAAATAACAAACAGGTCAAAGACAAGTCTCAAGGAAAATTTAAATACTTCAAAGGAAATTAAATAAAATACATCTTCAGATACTTTGTGAAATGCAGTACAAGTGGTGCTTGGAAGAAATTTAAAGCATGGAGGGCATGTGCTAGAAAAGAAAGATCTAAAACCAATAATTCAACCTTCCATTTTAAGAAACTAGAAAAAAGCCAGGAAGATAAACCTAAGTCAAGCTCAGACAAGCAACACTGATAGAAAACATCAGGAAAGCTGCAAACAAGAAGTCAATACAGAAAATCAACAATAACAAAATCTGGTTCTCCATAAACATCAATATAATTGATAAACCTATAGCCAGACCAAACAAGGGAGAAAGACAAAAGACCAAAATGTTCATCAGAAATAAAAGAGGTTCCATCATTACTACTAATCCTACAGACAGTTAAAAAAAAAAAAAAAAACCACAGTGAACATTATGAACAACTCCATGACCACTAGATTGGTAAGTCAGATAAAATGAACCAATCCTTTGAAAAAACCTCCAAAAACTCACACAAGGAGAGATGAGCAGACATGAATAGGTCTATACGTATTTTTAAAATTGGATCAATAAAGTAATAACTGTCCAAAAAAGGAAGGACAAGGCTGAAGACCCAGATGATCACACTAGTGAATTCCACCAAACATTTGAAGAACTGACACAGATTCTCTATACGCTCTTCCAGAAAACAGAAGCAGAGTACACACTTCCTAATTCATGCTATGCAGACAACACTGCCCTAACTACCAAAACTACAGGAATACATTACAAAAGAAAACAACAGAAAAAAAAATCTCATAATCAGAGATGCAAAAATTTTCAATCTAAAAATGTATTAAAAAATACACACCCCAGGCTGGGCGCAGTGGCTCACACCTGTAATCCCAGCACTTTGGGAGGCCGAGGCGGGCGGATCATGAGGTCAGGAGATCGAGACCATCCTGGCTAACACGGTGAAACCCTGTCTCTACTAAAAATACAAAAAAAAAAATTAGCCGGGCGTGGTGGAGGGCGCCTGTAGTCCCAGCTACTCAGGAGGCTGAGGCAGGAGAATGGCGTGAACCTGGGAGGCTGAGCTTGCAGTGAGCTGAGATCGCGCCACTGCACTCCAGCCTGGGAGACAGGGCGAGACTCTGTCTCAAAAAATAATAGTAATAAAATAAATGAGTAAATAAATAAACAAAAATAAAAAATAAAATAAAAAATATACACCCACCCAAATAGGAATTATGACAGATAATCATGGCTGATTCAAAAAGCAAAAACCAATTGACTTTATCACATCAACAAGATAAACAACAAAAAGTATATAATCATATCAATAGTTGCTGAAAAACCAGAAGGTTAAGAAATAGGGCAGAGCAGATGAAGCCACTGAAATTGAGAAAGGATAAATAAAACTGCCTTTCTGCAGATTAATAGTTATTTGTCGATAACATGACTGTCTATGTACAAAATCCAAAAGAACCAACAAAAATCTCCCTGAGCTAATGAGATTATAGCAAAGTGGTACAATGTAAGGTTAATATACAAAAGCCAATTATTTTTCTGTATATTAGCAATGAGCAACTGATTTAAATTTAAAAACACAACAGCACTTATATAGCACCCAGTAAAAAGAAAGACCTATATGACAAAACTATGCAAAACTATACATTTCTAATGATAGAAAAAAAGATCTGAATAAATGGAGAGATATTCCACGTCCATGAATAGGCAGCCTCAATATTGCTAAGATGTCAGTTCTCCCCAATTTGAATAACAAATTCAGTACAATTACAATAAAAATCCTAACAAGTCATGTTATTTTAAAAAAAGAAAATTTATTCTAACACCTATATGAAAAGCCAAAAGACCCAGATGGTAATACAATATTGAAGAATCAATTCACAGAATTGATACCACCTGACACTAAGACTTAATGTAAAGCTATAGTAATCAAGACAGTGCAATATTTGGGAAAGAAAAGAAGATAAACAAAAGAGGGCAGAAAACCCAGAAATAAACCCTGACAAATATAATCAGCTGAACTTTCACAAAAGACCAAAGGAAATTCAACAGAAAAGGTCTGGTCTCTAAAGCAAATGTTGAACACCTGGACATCCATACGCAAGGAAATAAAAAAGACACCTTGCAACAGTCACAGAATAAACTCAACATAGATTATAAACTGAAATGTGAAACAGAAAATTTAGAACTTCTGGAAGATGACACAGGAGAAACTGAGGGTAATCTTTGGTTTGGCAATGAGGATTCAGCTGCAACATGGAAAACATAATCCATGAATGAGAGAACAGGTAAATATGGGAACTCCGTACTATCTGCCCAATTTTTCTGCAAACCTAAATGTGCACTGAAAAATAAAGTCCATTAAATAAAAAGTAAATAGACAACCATTCCATAGAAGATTTATAGCCATGCAAAAAAATTACACACAGAATAAAATTTTCATAAAAACATGTAAAAATAAAGTATAACACAGGTTATAAAGCTATGAAGAAAGGAAAATAAATTATCTTATAATTCATAATTCTGGAGAGAAATGGGATAATTTGGCCTTGAGAAATCATTTTAAGTAAGGCGTGCAGTGTGAAGGTTTCTTCCAAGTATTCATCTGGTTGTCATTATGTGGACATTTCCTTTACAGTATTTCCGCTGACCATGCATTTGTTTTATATATTTTCTGCTATGCAACATTTGTAGGAAGTTTCCAAATTGCAAACAATGCACAAATCTCAGTGCAACACAATTCAAAAAGCCACTGAGATCTGTGCATTGAGTTTGCATTTTGGAAACTCCCTTCAAATGTTACGTATGCAGAAAATACATAAAACAATGACACAGTCAACCGAAACACTGTCAAGCTGTTAAAAGTAAATTTTTTTTTTTTTTTTGAGATGGAGTCTCGCTCTGTTGCCCAGGCTGGAGTGCAGAGGCGCGATCTTGGCTCAATGCAACCTCCGCCTCCTGGGTTCAAGCAATTCTCTGCTTCAGCCTCCCAAGTAGCTGGGATTACAGGCACCCGCCACCACACCTGGCTAATCTTTTTGTATTTTTAGTAGAGATGGGGTTTCACCATCTTGGCCAGGCTAGTCTTGAACTTCTGACCTCCTCGGCCTCCCAAAATGCTGGGATTACAGGCGAACTTTTAAAAAATAACACAAGCTATTAAAACTAATTTTTGTTGTCATGAAATAAGTCTAATAAATTATATAAAATAATAATAGAAAAAACTATACAACGATATTTATACATTATACATCAAAGTATAATAAAAGAAATGGCAAGATGGCATATGTCCTTAGAAAGGAGACTGAGCTCCCCATAACGTAGGCTCTTCCACGTAGTTACAGCATTTTAACTTCCATGAAATCCACAACCAGGTTTGCTTTGTTAGTGAACTTAAGAAAAACTACTTCTGAAAAGTGAAAGAGCAGACAAATGTCTGATAATAGCAAAGATATTGTAGAGAACACTGTCATGGAGTATTATACACTGAATGTTTATCCCCCCAGAATTCCTATGTGAAAATCCTAACCACAATGTGCCAATATTAGGAGGTGGCATTTCTGGGAGATTATTGGGATTAAACAAAATGATAAGGGTGATCTAAGAATGGGAATTAGTACCTTCAGGAAAAGAGGCATTTTCTATCCCTTTCAGACTACAGAGCTATCATTTAACTATTATTTCCACAATAATAAACTGTGATCATATTTGAGTACTCTAGGGGTTGCCGATGGTTGTCCCGTAGGATGCAGCACCAATCAGCCAAGTACAGATAACAGAAACAGAACAGGCTTATACACTGTCACAAATTCTCCAACATGCGAAAATGAGAAAGTGATGTTTTGGTGAATCTTTGTAATTCGCCAATTTACGACACTTTTTTTTTTCCTTGGTGGAAACGTATTCATTTTCTGCACCCACAATGGAAGAGACATTTCCCTTATTTGTTTTCCCTGGTAGGACTGAGTAAAGGTCCTAGAATTCCATCTGAAATTACTCAAAAGAGCAGAAATTTATTCCACATGTTTAGGGGAAATAAAAAGGTAAACAGTAATTGTTAACAAATAAAATATAAAACTAAATATTTAAATTTTTGAAATCCATTTCCTTCTGGCCTCCTCGAAAATATTTTACCTTTTTATCTCTACTGATGAAATACACTTTACATTTAATAAAGGAATGAGGCTCAAACAAATCTTTTTAAGGTGACAACACAGGGAGGGGTGGTACTGACTGGAACACAGTTATGCTGAAACGTCGTCAGGCCATCCTGACATGTGGAATGTCCTCCAACCCTCACCCTGCTCACTAAAATGCTCAGTGACTGCTCCCCCAAGTGTACTGTGCCCCCTGTGTGTCCAAAGTGCTTATTTTGCTTTGCAGGTTCTTTCACCACGTCACTGGGGTGGGTTTCCCTTCTCTGTTAATATCCCAAAAGGTTAGCATTTTAGATGAAGGGTCTATCGGAAGACTCCCCTCAGCACAGAACCAGCTGCTCCACTGAGAAGCTACACTCCCATACCTCAGTCTGTCCTCCGGAAGAAGATGACCCAGGTCAGATATTCATCAGACACTCCAAGATAAGGCCACTGTGGGCATCTTGGGTTATGCCAGACAGTTCTGAAACCCAGGACCAGGAAAAGGCAAGAGGGTGGCTGAGGATACATCACTCTTTACAGTTTCCATAGAGGAATCTCAGCCCAAAGACATTCTGATGAAATGTCTGCGCTTAGGTAAAATAAAAGGAGGAGAGTCATGAAGATTTTATACAGTGGTCAGGTGGTTATTCTCTGCTTTTCTTTTATGTAAAGTGTTCAGAAACAAATCAAATGTTTTAAAAGTTGCCATCCATTACTCATTGAAACAAATGACAAAACAGTACCCATTCAAAATGGATCATAGGAAACAAATAGTTGATAATATTGTCGTGAACTAGAGAGGAAAAGTGGCATTTTGGAGTGTGAAAAGGAAACTGAAGGCCAGGCGCGGTGGCTCACGCCTGTAATCCCAGCACTTTGGGAGGCTGAGGCGGGCGGATCAAGAGGTCAGGAGATCAAGACTAGCTGAGACCATCCTGGCTAACACGGTGAAACCCCGTCTCTATTAAAAATACAAAAAATTAGCCAGGTGTGGTGGTGGGCGCCTGTAGTCCCAGCTACTTGGGAGGCTGAGGCAGGAGAATGGCGTGAACCCAGGAGGCGGAGCTTGCAGTGAGCCGAGATCGTGCCACTGCACTCCAGCCTGGGCGACAGAGCGAGACACCAAAAAAAAAAAAAAAAAAAAGGAAACTGGAATTTGGGGAATTCATCGCCAGCCTTAGGAGGAGCTAGGCTGGGAAGGACAAGACAGTGGATTTGAGACTCTGTTTTTCATACATCTTGAAGATTCAGAGGAAAACAGGTGACACCTGGGGAGAAAGGAGAACCAGTGACCCCACGGACCACAACTACCCCTCCACACAAACCCTGCACACCAAGTGAAAACTCTCCTCCGATGACTCTCCCGTCACAGCCACACAATCTGAGGGAGACATGGGGCTGTGGGCACACAGCTTCCCAGAGGGCCTTGGGCCAGAGCAAATTTGCTGGAGCAGTGACAGGATGCCTGGGATCCCACGTGCTGGCACAGCCTCACCCTGCACTGAAGGGGCACTAAGGTCTGAGCTGCACCACAGACACTGGGTCACAGACTCTGTAGCTGACCACAGGGAGGGCTGGGTCTGGCCTCAGCCAATTCTGCCTGGTTCCAATCAGCCCCTCCCCGTGTTAGGATCCCCATCCTGCACACTCACCATTTCCCAACTTCTAGAGTGTCCCTGCATCTTTTCCAGAATGTCACGGGTGTCCCTGCATCTTTTCTAGAATGTCGCAGTACCCGCAAGCAGGTCATAGGGCAAGAGAAGATGCAGCAGAGTCATCTGGAACCTCCTTGATCAGAGGACATGCAGCAGTGGAGACAAGACCCTGAGCTCTGCTACCAGTGGCTCTTAAGACAAAGGCTCTGCTGAATTGTAGAATGCTACCTGCTCCTCTCTGGCTTGCTACTGAGCTTCTGACTGGATAGGGCTTCACATGCCTCTGCTCCTTCCCTAAGTGACAAGAAATGTGATCAGATGTGGGGCCCAATGAGGCCAGAATGATGGGTTCTTGGCTTCCTTCCTGTGTTGGGACCTGACCTCACCCAGGAGGCATTTGCATTGAAGCAGAACTTCGTACTGCCTTTAAAGAGTTCCACTGTTGTCTTCCTGCACTCCACAGGGCCTTTCTGCCTTTTCCTCCTGGACTCAGGGGCACAGCATGGACAGGAAATTATAGACTCATTGTCTAATGGAGCCATCCTCAGCCTCAAGGAAGAACGGGGCCCAGGTCAGGCAACAGTGGAACATGCGGGAGCCAGACCTCTGCAATTCGGGACGAGGCTGTTGGCCCCAGGATGAAAGCTACCTCACTCTCTCTCAGTCTATGCACTTTCTTTCTTTCTTTTCTTTTCTCTTTCCTTCTTTTTATTTTTGACTGGGTCTCACTCTGTCACCCATGCTGGAGTGCAGTAGCACAATCTGGGCTCACTGCAATCTCCATCTCCTGGACTCAAATGATCCTCCTGCCTCCCTCAGCCTCTCAAGTAGCTGGGACCACAGGTGCGCACCACCATGCCCGGCTAATTTTTGTAGTTTTTGTAGAGACGGGGTTTTACCATGTTGCCCAGCTCGTCTTGAACTCCTGAGCTCAAGTGATCCACCTGCCTCAGCCTCCCAAAGTGCTGAGATTACGGGCATGAGCCACCAGGCCTGGCCGGTCTATGCATGTTCAACCAAGAAAATAAAAAGATGCCAATAAGAAACTAAAATTACTAAATGCACAAAACACTGGAGTTATATGGCAGCAATATTGCATAAAGGAGTTACAAGGGAAGAAAAGCAAACATTTGCTATAGCTCAGATAAGGAGCCTGTTTCACCTACAGTTCAAAATGAAAACCCTCCTTGAGAAGGTTAAACATATTCCAAGTTTGAGAGCCAGACTCTGCTGAAATGCAGCCCCAGAAGTGATGAGTCCCTGGTGATGAGGAAAGAAAACCTAAGGAGTTAACTCCGTGAGCATAACATGCCCTTCTGTCTTCCAAGTTTTCTTATGTGAAAAAATAAAGCCTCCGAAAAAAGAATGACAAGTTCAATTCTACTAAAATTAAGAAGAGTCCATCAAATGGTAGACTGGAGTGAAAAGAAAAAATTACCTTGGGAAAAAATATATTTGCAGTCTTTACAAATAAAGTGGAATAGCGTGCAGAGTATGTTTAAAGGGGGGAGGGGTAAAAGCAATAAACAAACAAATAAATGAGAACTATTTGAAAACTATTTCACAGAAAATGATTGAAACCTATTTCATAGAAAATTACCACACAGGAAAAATGCTCAAAACCAATGATAATCAGTAAAAAGTATATACAGTCACATGGAAATAAAGAAACAAATAAGGCTAAGTATTTGTAAGGAATAAACACATATTTATGAAGGGTCAGTTTATCCATACATTCCACTGGCATTTTCTAGCAAATGTGAATTTATCTGTAACTTAAAAACCCAGCACTTTTTTTCTCAATGCGTAATAAATTTATGAAGCATTGTCACTTGGGACAAAAGCAAGGACACTGTCAACATCAAAAACTAAACGTGTAACAGCTCAAGTCCCATAGCAGTGTAATGGGTGAATAGGGGCACCCACAGCCTTAGACAGTACTCTGTGTGCAACAAACTGAGGCAAGAAATCACAAAAAAAGAGGAGAGTCAAGATGGTCAACCAGACACAGTCAGGACGATCTTTTGCCCACAAAGCAGACCATCAAGTAGAACAGCACACTATAAACAGATCTTTGGAAAGCAGGCACTGACAGTGGACCGAGAAAGGATGCAGGCTGAAACGGGAGAAAGGTGGGAACCCCACCCAGGATTGCTGAGGACCAGGACTCATTTCTGGCCCTGGGTGGTTCCCAGGGAAGGGGTGAGTAAGATAGGCATGGAGAGGTCCACTGTTGCCATGGTCCTCCAGGATCCTAGCTGCGGGAGATCCTACAGCCCCCATGGACACTTGAGCTGGAAAAGAGAACTGCTCAGAAAGTTGACAAAGACAGGATTCTTAGCTGCACAGAGCCCAGAGGTTTGGTGCAGTATTGGCTGCAGTGGAGCATGGTCATGGATGCCCATCCCCCAAAACTTGCCATAGTCCTCCAAGGCAAAAGTTTCTTGAAAATATAAACCACAAATAACATTCTAAGGCCCCTCAGCCATTTGAATGGACCCCTCATTTCAGATAAGGGTATTTCAAAGTTAACCTGGAAAACTACTTCAGGCCACGATGGGAAGAGGGAGTCAGACAAGCTTCTTTATACCCTCCTCACTTTTGGAATTCGGGAAAAGCCAACCAGCATTAACATCAACACAGACCTTAAGTTCTGATAATAAACATTTACAATCTATTCTTTCTGAAGCCTGCTATCTGGGGATTTCATCTGCGTGATAAAACCTTAGTTTCCACAACCTCTTCTTGTTACCCAGACATTCCTTTCTGTTGATAACTCTCTCAACCAATTGCCAATAAGAACATTTTTAAAACTACCTATGACCTGGAAGCCCCCACTCTGACTTGTCCCACCATTCCAGATCAAACCAATTTAAATCTTACATGTATTGATAGACATTATTATGTCTCCCTAAAACGTATAAAAGTAGGCTGTGCCCCCAACTACCACAGGTACATGTCATCAAGGACCTCCTGAGGCTATGTCATGGTTACATCCTGTAACCTTGGCAAAATAAACTTCCTAAATTGATTAAGACTTGTCTCGGCCAGGCGCGGTGGCTCATGCCTGTAATCCTAGCACGTTGGGAAGCCAAGGTGGGTGGGTCACCTGAGGTCAGGAGTTCAAGACCAGCCTGGCCAACATGGTGAAACCCCATCTCTACTAAAAATACAAAAATCAGCCGGGCATGGTGGCGGGTGCCTGTAATCCCACCTACTCAAGAGGCTGACACAGGAGAATCGCTTGAACCTGGGAGGCAGAGGTTGCAGCAAACCAAGATCATGCCATTGCACTCCAGCCTGGGTGTGAGAGCAAGATCCCGTCTCAAAAAAAAAAAAAAAAAAAGACTTGTCTCAGATACATTGAGTTCACAGGTAGTTCCCCACAAGCACAGGCAACCAAAGAAGAAATGGACAAAAAGTATCACATCAAGTTAAAAAGCTCCAGCACAGGCCGGGCGCGGTGGCTCACGCCTGTAATCCCAGCACTTTGGGAGGCCGAGGCGGGCGGATCACGAGGTCAGGAGATCGAGACCATCCCGGCTAAAACGGTGAAACCCCGTCTCTACTAAAAATACAAAAAATTAGCCGGGCGTAGTGGCGGGCGCCTGTAGTCCCAGCTACTTGGGAGGCTGAGGCAGGAGAATGGCGTGAACCCGGGAGGCGGAGCTTGCAGTGAGCCGAGATCCCGCCACTGCACTCCAGCCTGGGCGACAGAGCGAGACTCCGTCTCAAAAAAAAAAAAAAAAAAAAAAAAAGCTCCAGCACAGCAAAGGATACAATCAACAAAGTGAAGAGACAACCCACTTAAATGGGAGAAAATATTTGCAAACTATGCATCTGAACAGGGATTAATAACCACAATATATAAGAAGCTCAAACAACTCTATAGGAAAAAAATCTAATAATCTGATCAAAAGATGGGCAAGGCTGGGCGCAGCGGCTCACGCCTGTAATCCCAGCACTTTGAGAGGCCGAGGCAGTAGATCACTTGAGCTCAGGAGTTTGAGACCAGCCTGGCCAACATGGTGAAACCCCATCTCTACTAAAGATACAAAAATTGGCCAGGTGTGGTGGTGTACATCTGTAATCCCAGACTCAGGTGGCTGAGGTAGGAGAATCGCTTGAACCCAAGAGGCAGAGGTTGCAGTGAGCCAAGATCACACCACTGTACTCCAGCAGCCTAGGTGACAGAGTAAGATTCTGTCTCCAAAAAAAAAAAAAAAAAAGATGGGCAAAAGATATGAATAGACAGTTCTCAAAAGAAGACACACAAATGGAAAACAGGCATATGAAAAGATGCTTAACATCACTGATCATCAGAGAAATGCAAATCAAAACTACAATAGGATATCATCTCACCCCAGTTAAAATGGCTTAAATCCAAAAGACAGGCAATAGCAAATTCTGGCAAGAATATGGAGAAAAAGGAACCCTTGTACACTGTTGGTGGGAATGTAAATTAGTGCAACCACTATGGAGAAAACTTTGGAGATTCCTCAAAGGACTAAAAATTGAGCCGCCATATGATCCTGCAATCTCACTGCTGGGTATATACCCAAAAGAAAGGAAACCAGTATATCAAAGAGATATCTGCACTCCCATGTTTGTTGCAGTGCTGCTTACAATAACTAAGATGTGGAAGCAACCTAAGTGTCCATCAACAAATGAATGCATAAAGAAAATGTGCTAATATACACACACTGGGGTACTATTTTGCCAAAAAAAAAAAAAAAAAAAAGAATGAGATCCAGTCGTTTGCAGCAACAACACGGATGGAACTGGAGATCATGATGTTAAGCAAAATAAGCCAGGCACAGAAAAACAAATATCGCATGTTCTCACTTATCTGTGGGATATAAAAATCAAAACAACTGAACTCATGGGCATAGAGAGTCGAAGGATGGTTACCAGAGGTGGGGAAAAGTAGTGGCGAGCTGGAGGAGAGGTGGAGACAGTTAATGGCTGACAAAAAAAAAATACTTAGAAAGAATAAAAAAGACATACTATTTGATAGCACAAGGTGTCTACAGTCAATGATAACTTAATTGTACATTTTAACGTAACTTAAAGAGTGTAATTTGATTGTAACTCAAAGGATAAATGCCTGATACCCCATTCTCCATGAGGTGCTTATTTCACATTGCATACCTGTATCAAAACATCTCATGTAATCCATAGATATATACACCTTGTATGTCCCCAAGAAAGTTAAAGAAGACAAAAAAAGGTAACAAATGCTGGCAAGGATATGGAAAAAAAGAGAATCCTTGTACACAGCTGGTGGGAATGTCAACTAGTACAACTACTATGGAGAACAGTTTGAAGGTCTTTCAAAAAAAAACTAAAAAGAAACCTGCCATATGATCCAGCAATCCTCCTGCTAGGTATATAGCCAAAAGAAAGGAAACCAGTATGTCAAAGAGATATCCACACTCTCGTTTGTTGTAGCACTGTTTACGATAGCCAAAATTTGGAAACAACCTAAGTGTCCATCAACAGATGAATGCATAAAGAAAATGTACATACACACAGTGGAGAACTATTCAGCCATAAGAAAGCATGAGAGCCTGTCATCTGCAATAACATGGGTGGAACTAGAAGTCATTAAGCTAAGTGAAATAAGCCAGGCACAGAAAGACAAACAGCACAAGTTCTTACTTATTTGTGGGATCTAAAAATCAAAACAACTGAACTCATGGACATGAGTCAAAGGATGGTTACCAGAGGTTGGGAAGTGTAGTCAGGGGGACTAGGGAAGAGGTGGGGATGGTTAATGCGTATTTAAAAAACAGAAAGAATAAGTAAGACCTAGCATGTGACAGCACAACAGGATGATTATAGTCAGCAATAATTTAATTGTACACTTTAAAGCAACTAAGTATAATTGGATTATTTGTAATACAAAGGGTAAATGCTTGAGGGGATGGACACCCCATTCTCCATGATGTAATTATTACAAATTGCATCCCTGTATCAAAATATCTCCTGTACCCCATAAATATACATACTTAGTATGTACCCACAAAAATTAAAAATAAAAAAATTAAGAAAAAAAACATCGATTAAAGACTTAAATGTGGCCAGGCATGGTAGCTCACACCTGTAATCCCAGCACTTTGGGAGGCCGAGGTGGGCAGATCACGAGGTCAGGAGATCAAGACCATCCTGGCTAACATGGTGAAACCCCGTCTCTACTAAAAATACAAAAAACTAGCCAGGCGTGGTGGCAGGCGCCTGTAGTCCCAGCTACTTGGGAGGCTGAGGCAGGAGAATGGCATGAACCCGGGAGGCAGAGCTCGCAGTGAGCCGAGATCACGCCACTGCACTCCAGCCTGGGCGACAGAGTGAGACTCCGTCTCAAAACAAACAAACAAACAAACAAAAAGACTTAAATGTAAAACCTGTAAGTATAAAAACCCTAGAGGAAAACCTAGGACATACCATTATGGACATAATCCTTGGTAAATATTTCATGACAAAGTCTCCAAAAGCAATCGCAACAAAAACAAAAATAAATAAGTGGGACCTAATCAAACTAAAGAGCCTCTACACAACAAGATAAACTGTCAACAGAGTAAACAGACAACCTACAGAATACAAGAAAATATTTGCTATCTGTGTATCTGACAACGGTTTAATATCCAGGATCTATAAGAAACTTGAACTAATCAACAAGGAAAAATGGCAAACAACTCCATAAAAAAATGGGCAAGAATATGAACAGACACTTCTCCAAAGAAGACATACACATGGTCAAGAAGTGTGTGAAAAATTATGCTCAACATCTCTAATCATTAGAGAAATGCAAATCAAAACCATCCAGTCAGAATAACTATTACAAAAAAGTCAGAAAATAACAGATGTTTGCGAGGTTGCAGAGAAAAGGGAATGCTTACACGCTGCTGGAGGGGATGTAAATTAGTTCAGCCACTGTGGAAAGCATTTTGGAGATTTCTCAAAGACCTTAAAACAGAACTACCATTCAACCCAGCAATCCTATTACTGGGTATATATATCCAAGGGAATCTGAATCATTCTACCAAAAAGACACATGCATGTGTATATTCACTGCAGCACTATTCACAATAGCAAAGTCATAGAATTAACCTATATGCCCAGCAACAGTAAAATGGATAAAGAATATGTGGTACACATACATCCAGGGACAATTACACAGCCATAGAAAAAAGCAAAATCACGCCCTTTGCAGCAACATGGATGTAGTTGGAGGCCATTATCCTAATCAAATTAACACAGTGGCAGAAAACCAAATACTGCATGTTCTCACTTATAAGTGGGAGCTAAACGATGAGTACACACAGACACAAAGAGTTAAATAAACACTGGTCATACTTGAAGATGAATGGTGAAAATAGGGTGAGGGTCTAAAAACTACCTATTGGTTACTATGTTCACCACCTGGGTGATAAAATCATTTGCACACCCAGTCCCACCAGTGATATTTGACCCATGTAACAATCCTGCACATGCAGCCTCTAAACCTAAAATAAAAGTTGAATAAGAAAAAAAGAAACTGGTGAATGATGAAGGTCTGAATATGAAGGTAATAAATTACATGCCTTAAAGTAATATGAAACCTTTTATACCGTACATTATTTATACTGTTATTTTTTAAATTTGAGTTATCTATTTTGAATTTTCATTAAAACGTAAGAACTCATTTATAAATTGGGTAAAATACCTATTGCTAAATATTTGTATTTCCTTTCACAGTTTTATTCTTTCTTTCTTTTTTTTTTTTTTTAGATGGAGTCTCACTCTGTTGCCCAGGCTGGAGTGCAGTGGTGCAATCTCGGCTCACTGCAAGCTCCGCCTCCCAGGTTCATGCCATTCTCCTGCCTCAGCCTCCCAAGTAGCTGGGACTACAGGTGCCCGCCACCACGCCTGGCTAATTTTTTGTATTTTTAGTAGAGACGGGGTTTCACCGTGTTAGCCAGGATGATCTTGATCTCCTGACCTCGTGATCTGCCCGCCTTGGCTTCCCAAAGTGCTGGGATTACAGGTGTCAGCCACTGCGCCCAGCCACTTTTTTTTTTTAAACAGCGTCTCACTATGTTGCCCAGGCTAAAGTGCAATGGTGCAATTACAGCTCACTGCAGCCTGGAACTCTGAGGCTCAAGTGATCCTCCCACCTGAGCCTCCCAAGCAGCCGAGACCACAGCTCCGCACTGCCATGCCTGGTTTTGTTTTTTTTTTTTTTAAAGTTCAGGCAGGGTCTCATCATGTTGCCCAGGCTGGTCTCAAACTTCTGAACTCAAGTGATCCGCCCACATCAGCCTCCCAATGTGCTGAGATTACAGTGGTGAGCCACTGTGCCTAGCCTTATTATTTCAAACAAAAATTAATATATACTTAAAAAAAGAAACCACAGGCCAGGCTCAGTGGCTCACGCCTGTAATGCCAGCACTTTGGGAGGCCAAGGCGGGAGGATCACCTGAGGTCAGGAATTCGAGACCAGCCTGGCCAACATGGCAAAACCTCGTCTCTACTAAAAATACAAAAAAATTAGCTGGGCATGGCGGTGCATGCCTGTAATCCCAGCTAGTTGGGAGGCTGAGGCAGGAGAATTGCTTGAACCTGGGAGTCGGAGGTTGTGGTGAGCCGAGACTGTGCCATTACACTCCAGCCTGGGCGACAAGAACGAAACTCTGTCTCAAAAAAAAAAGTGTGTGTATATATATATATATATATATATATATATATATATGCATACACACACATACACACACACACACAAACATCTTTTCGGCACAGTATTAATGGTGTACTAATAGTAACATTAAGCTACTAAAAACTCAAGAGGTAAAACTATGCAGCCATAAAAAAAGAGCAAAATTCTGCTTCATGATAGTTAATCTACAAAGAATAAGAAAAAATAATCAAAACTGCAGTCACATCTCTGAGCAGAAGTTAGAAAAGATCAGAACACCAGAACTGCACAAGGTCTGTTTATTCACCTGGACGGTGAGCCCATGACTTTAAAGTCTTATCATTTAAACTTAGCATAAAACAATTTATTCCAAGAATTATCTACGATTTTTTCAGGTCATATCACCCAATTCACTCATTTTTCAACCAAGAAAATCAAAATCTCACATTCAAATCATGGAATAAAATTCTTAAATACTTACCCAAACTGGAATGATAACCCAGCAAGATTTTATAAAGATGAACCCTGTGCTCAGTAGGTTAAATAGGTTCCCAAGCTTGGGGGCCACTCTCAAGGTGGAGATACAGCCCAAGGTGGTTCATTCCTAGGGAATGAGTGAAGGCAAGCTTGGGGGCCACTCTCAAGGTGGAGATACAGCCCAAGGTGGTTCATTCCTAGGGAATGAGTGAAGGAAGCCTGAGCAATTGGAAATTTAATTCTGGGAGCTCCACACACCCTATTTATCCCCTGCTCACAGTGAGGAAATGCTTTCTTCTCCAGGGTCTCAATTCTCACCAGTGACCACTCTCCCAGAGTCAGGTGAAGGCTCTGATCTGTGAGTCCTTTTTCTGATACCAAATGTGTGGACTTTGCTGAACACCAACCAATTCTCCAACACCTACTAATTGTCCAACAATTAAATTCCAACACCACTCAGAGTCAACACATACCCCATAAGCTCACAGATCAGTTCCACAACACTGCCCACATTGCACATGCCAGTTGCAAGCCTGAGGGGCCCATCTATCCTTCTGACCAATTGCTCATAAGTCAGAGGTTCCCATCACCCCTTCCTCAGGTTTGATAACGTGAAAAACAACTATGCCCAGAACTCAGCAAAAACAATTTACTGATGTTTACCAGTGTATTATACAAGATGTGACTCAGGAACAACTCAATGGAAGAGTTGTAGAGGACACGGGAACATAGCAGGGGAAGATGGGGTGAGTAGGTAATCCTGTTAAATATATGCAAGTTAAAAAACAAACAACAAAAACATTCTTTGTGTTCTCCAGGAACAGCTTGGTGAAAACAAACACCTTCTCATTATGACTTAGATGATGCTTCCTTTACGTACAATAAAGCCAGAAACAGACAGCGTAATTTTTTTTTCGCCTCTTAACTAATTAGCTGACCAAATTTGTCTTCAGTGGTCAGAACAAAATACTTGCTAACCAAATTTTACTTAAGTTTCCCTCCTTCCCTCAGGCCCCTGAACTCTGATATACCCTCAGCCTGAGCCAACATACAACCCCTCTTTATGCCTCTCCTGTGAACAGGCTGACCTCAGGGTGAAATGTTCTCTGATCTAGAATCCATCCGGCCCTCTTCCTCTCCTCTTTTTTCTAATCTAGTTTGCTCCTTCCTATGAAAGAAAGCCCTTTTCTGCCTAACCTTTAACATGCTTGCCACTGTTATACCCAGTGTTTTTCCTCATTGCAATACTTCAGAATAAACTCCCTTCTTACATAATTCTGAATTTACTTTATTGCAGCAGTTCCCCACCTTTTTGGCATCAGGGATCAGTTTCATAGAACACAGATTTTCCATGGATGGTGGGGATAGTTTTGGGACCACACTGTTCTACCTCAGATCATCAGGCATTAGATTCTCATAAGGAGCACACAACCTAGATCCCTCCCATGCACAGTTCACAGTAGGGTTCGTGCTCCTCTGAGATTCTAAAGCCACCACTGATCTGACAGGAGAAGGAGCTCAGGTGGTAATGTTCACTCACCTGCTGCTCACCTCCTGCTGCATGGCCTGGATCCTAACAGGCCACCGACAGGTACTGCTCCATGGCCCAGGGGTTGGGGACCCCTGCTTTATTGAATAATGTCTAGAAAGAATGCCAGGACAATGAAAATTACACCCTTAAAAAGGGGATCTCATCCTTTCAATCCAGGCCCAACCACATCCACCTGTGAACACCAGATTTCCAGAACTCTGTAGCTTCTCTCAATATAAAGAGCTCCTTTCATGGCTGAGGTGAGCAGGCTGGGACATCTGTAAAGGGAGGCTCCCAAGGAAGAACTGAGTGAGGCACTTACGTTTAATACCTCAACTGGAAAAGCCAAAGTATCTATCCCTATCATATAATAAATATGTCATTTATTTATTATTTCCATGATAACAAATCATCTCCAGGAGTTGCCAAGTCCTATCCCATAAAACTTAGCATTAAACTCCAATGTCCAGATAACAGGATAAAAAACAGGGTTATCCACTGTTATAAATTCTCCACCCTGCAAAAAGGAGGCACTGATGTTTTGATAAATATTTATAATTCACCAATTTATCTACAACACTTGCTTGTGGAAATGTATTCATTTTTCTGCAGCCATAATGGAAAAGAGATTTTTCATATTTTTCCCTGGTAACATTTTGATATAGTTTGGCTGTGTCCCTACTCAAATCTCATCTTGAATTGTAACTCCCACAATTCCCACATGTGGCAGGAACGTGGTGGGAGGTAATTGAATCATGGGGGCAGGTCTTTCCCCTGCTGTTCTGGTGATAGCGAATACGTTTCATGAGATCTGATGGTTTTAAAAACTGGAGTTTCCCTGCACAAGCTCTCTCTCTCTCTGCCTGCAGCCATCCGCGTAAGACGTGACTTGCTCCTTGTTGCCTTCCGCATGATTGTCAGGCTTCCCCAGCCATGTGGAAATATAAGTCCTTTAAATCTCTTTCTCTTATAAATTGTCCAGCCTCAGGTATGTCTTTATCAGCAGCATGAAAACAAACTAATACACATTCCCAAAGCAAAGTCCTAGAATTCCATTTGAAATCTCCTTCAAAAAAGAACAGACTTGAGAAACTTACTACACTCACTCTTGGGAAGAAAAAGGTTAACAAGAATTTTTAACAAATGGAATATGAATAGATTTTTGCCCCCTTGAAATCCACCTCCTTCTTGTCTCTTTGGAAATATTTTTTTTTAATCTTTCAAGCTCTCTGAATAAAACATATTTTAAAGTTAATGAAAAACTGAAACTGAACTAAGTGAATAAATCTTTTCAAGGCAATAAACTCAGGGAGGGGTCATGCTGGCAGAACACAGACATCTCTGGGTCAAGAGTCAGGTCAGGTCACTGCATCACTTTGGAGATCCTCACAGGCCCATTCTCCTCACAGAAATACTCAATGACCACCCTCCCAGGAGACACTGTACTGTGCCCCACTGTGTGCTTGAATTTTTTTTTTTTTTTTGGGACGGAGTCTTGCTCTGTCACCCAGGCTGGAGTGCAGTGGCGTGATCTCAGCTCACTGCAAGCTCTGCCTCCTAGGTTCACGCCATTCTCCTGCCTCAGCCTCCTGAGTAGCTGGGACTACAGGCGCCCGCCACCATGCCCGGCTAATTTTTTGTATTTTTAGTAGAGATGGGGTTTCATCACATTAGCCAGGATGATCTCGATCTCCTGACCTCGTGATCCGCCCGCCTCGGCCTCCCAAAGTGTTGGGATTACAGGCGTGAGCCACCGCACCTGGCCTGTGTGCCTGAATTTCTAAGCCCTTTTCTGCCTAAACTTTAACATGCTTGCAGCTCTTATACCTGGTGTTTTTCCCCATTGCAATACTTTAGAATAAACTCTCTTTTTTTTTTTTTTCTTTTTCAAACTGAGTCTCCCTCTGTCACCCAGGCTGGAGTGCAGTGGCACCATCTCAGCTCACTGCAACCTCCACCTCCTGGCCTCAAGCGATTCTCCTGCCTCAGCCTCCTGAGTAGCTGGGATTACAGGCATGCACCACCAGACTGGGCTAATTTTTGTATTTTTAGTAGAGACAGTGTTTTGCCATACTGGCAAGGCTGGTCTCAAACTCCTGACCTCAAGTGATCTGCCTCCCTTGGCCTCCCAAAATGCTGGGATTACAGGCGTGGGCCACCACGCCCAGCCAACTCTCTTCTTACATAATTCTGATGATGGTGCTTTTCTGGTTCTTGCACCACCTCACTGGGGTGGGTATTCCTTGTCCTTTGAGATAGTTTTTCTCCTTTCCCAAGTCCGAGAAAATCCAGAGCGCAGGAATCATTTCTAGATTTTTCCCTTAATACCAGCATCTGACTGGCTGCCACCAACGTGTCTCCAAGGAATGATGAAAACTGGGGTTGGAGGAAGAAAATCCCAATGCACCAGGGATTTGTTTTTTAAACGAAGAGTATACTAGGAGACGTCTCTCAACTCCAGGGCACCCAGATGCTGCCTGGAGAGGCTCTACTTCCATATTTTAAACTGTCCTCTGTGAGGAGATGACCCAGGAGAAGGTATTCATTAGACACTCCAAGAGATCTGGCTGCTAAACAGAGGACCAAGAAAAGATATAAGGGTGGCTGAGGACATATCACCCTCTAAAGTTTCCAAAAGGGAACTTCACCCCAAAGATACTCTGGTAAGATGTGCACACTCAAAAAAGATAAAATTAGGAGATGCACAAAGACTTTTTTTTTCTACAATTAACTGTCAGGTGATTATTTTCTGCTTTCCACTCATGTGTAATGTTCAGAAATATTTTAAGAGTGAAAACAAATATTTTCAGAACGACTCACTACTCTGAAAAAAATAACACACTTCATCTGTATGAAATGTACAATAAAAGACAAATACTTGATAATGTTGCATTTGAATATAGGAAAAGAATTGGAAATTTAGGGTTTTACTACAAGCCCCAGAAGAGTTAGGCTGTGGGAACAGGGTCGTTGATGTGAGATCCTGTTGCCATACACTTAGAAATGTGGAGTGTTATGTGAAAATAATTAAACACAGGCACTAGGGAGACTGAGGTGGGGGGATCGCTTGAGCCCGAGTCCAAGACTCCATCATACACATGTACATACACACATGAATGAATAAACAACCAACCAAAACGTAACTCATGCTTGTCTTGTAAATTAATAACTTAAAGGGAAACAAAACAGCCTTAAACAACCACGAACCCACCAATTAACCTCTGGTTACATAACCAGGAGATATCTGGCTGCACAGTCTATATGGGGTGACTACATAACTGTACACGATCAATTATTTAATTGGGTTTGCTTCCTCGGGTTCCTTACAAAAAACCCTTTCCTTCCCCAAACCACAAACCACGCTGGTGGCTTCCTAACTCACGACTCTCTGCTCAAATAAACTCCTTAATATTTTAACGGCGCCTCAGTTTTCTTTCTAACAGGAGAAAGGAGGATTTGGAGACTTCACAGACCACAGCTCCTCCCACGCAGGAACCCCGAACCCCAAGTCGGGACTCTCCCCTGAGGACCCTCCCGTCGGCACCGCACGATCCGAGGGAGATGCGGGTCTACAGAGGCAGAGCTGCCCAGAAAGGGTTCCGGGCCTGGCCGAAGCGGCGGGGCAGGGACAAGCCAGGCGGCCCGGGGTCTGGCTGCGGGTCCAGCCCCGCATCCTGTGCCACTAAGGCCGCGAGGCGCCGGCGGAAACTCGGGTCGGCACCGCGGGGAGGTCCGGGTTCGCCACAACCGCTTCCTGGCGGTTCCCTTTTCCCCTTCCCGAGACACCTGGCCGGCACACTCACCATTTCCCAGTCTCCGGTGTCTGGGGTCCTCCCTAAGGACCTTCCGGGACCTGCAGGTCCCAGAGCAACAGAAGCTGCCGCGGGACCACTTGGACCTCCCAGGGATAAGGGGAAGGAGCAGCGGAGACGCACCGAGCTCGCCACATTCGCGCTGCCCAACACAAAAGCCGCGCCAGGTCCCGGAAGCTGCTCCCTCCTTTCGCGGCGCGCTTGAGAGTACAGTCCCCTTCCCAGCGCCCGATTGGACAGGGCCTTAGGCCCCGCCCCTTCAGTCCTGAGTGACGGGAGATGCAATCAGACACGGCGCTGAGTGAGGCCAGGTTCTTTCCCTGCAGTCCTTTTCTAAGGCATGGATTCTGCCCTGTGCTGAGACCTGGCGCCCCCCGGGGGACTTTCCCATTCAAGCTCATACACAGGATTATGTCCATTTATGAGTAATATTTGTGATATTTACAATTGGAAACACTATGATGACAATTATTCTAAAATTTCAGATTTCACAACCTTCCTGGCCTCTGGTCTTTTGAGGAGGCAGCCTGAATTTTTTTTTTTTTCTTGCTTCTAGTGGGATTAGAGGCAGCTTGAATTTTGAAAAGACAATGTCCTCTCAGGTAGCAACGCCCCATAGAAATAAAATGTGAGCCGCGTGTGTTCCAGTAGCAATAGAAAAGAAAACAACACGTGAAATTGATTACAATGATTTATTTAACCAAATATATCCAAAAATATTGTTTCAATATATGATCGATGTTAAGCTCGCGCCTAATTGAAGAGACTACCCAAACAGGTTAAGTGTGAGCAGCAAGGCTAGTTTACTCACTCGGGTGCGAGCGGGCTGAGTCCGAAAAGAGGGTCAGCGGAGGGTCGTGGGATTGGAGTTAGTTTTATAGGTGAGGGGTAAGCAGTGGAAAGTTACAGTCAGGGGCCGTTTATTACCGGCGGGGGAAGAATGTCACAAAGTACATTGTCACAAGAGGGAGGGGTCACAGTGTCACTAGGCTGATTGATCAGTTAGGGTAGTGCACGTCACAACGGTAAAATGCTGCAAGGTTGGCTAATCAGCTAAGACAGAAACTAGCCGTTTTTCTTCCTTTGTGGTTTTCCTGTTGTCCCAGACTTTCTGGCTCCAGGACCTTCTGGATGTACACGTGTGGGTCACAGGGATCACAATGGCTTGACCATGGCGCAGCCTGCTCAGACGGCCTTACAATCGATATATTATTAATGAAAAATCACTCTATATATTAAGCTTCCAGCATGTTTCAATTCAGCCTGCACATTTGGATACACGTGTCTGGTTTTACCACTTTATTTTAAGGTTGTTCGGGAATGTCTGCCTGTTCCTTTCATGTAACTGTTCATTATTTATTGATTACTATTTCTTAATTTCACTTATCTCAGTGAGAGTTGCCAAATAGTGGTTTTCTAATTATTTTCTCTACAGGTATTAGTTCTCATTCTTCTATTAAAAATGGCGTTTTCTCATGAACTCTCTCCATTACATTAAAACCTACCCTATTAGGAAAGGAAGAATAAAAGCTTGATTCTCCCTTTAATCAATTGTCATAACAATGACGGCGTGGCCTCAGCAAACAAAAAAAATGTGAGTGACTTTTTTCTAACCTTATTTTTTGTGTATTTAATGAGATTCCATACACTGCAGTCTGTATCTATTTTTTGAGCTCAAATTATCCCTTTTTTTTTTTTTTTTTTTTGAGACCGAGTCTCACTCTGTTGCCCAGGCTGGAGTGCAGTGTGGCATGATCTCGGCTCACTGCAACCTCTGCCCCCCGGATTCAAGCGATTCTCGTGCCTCAGCCTCCTGAGTAGCTGGGATTACTGGCACCCACCACAACGCCTGATTAATTTTTGTATTTTTACTAGAGACAGGCTTTCACCATATTGGCCAGGCTGGTCTGGAACTCCTGACCTCAGGTGATCCACCCACCTCGGCCTCCGAAAGTGCTGGGATTACAGGCGTGAGCCACCGCGCCCGGCCAAATTGTCCCATCGTAAGTGAGGGGCTCTATACATTGCCTCCTTTGTCCTTGTACCATATGTTTTGAGAGCTTTCTTATTTTCTGGAGCAGACAGAAACTGTGTGCTTCCCTTTTTCTGTTATATACGTTGCAAAAAGATGACCATTTGGCATTTTCCTTTTTACTTGGCTTATGGCGTTTCCTAACACTCACAATATTCTGGTTTTATATTGTATCTTTATCAATGTTTTAATTTAATATTTCTTGGTTTTAGTCATAAGCCCGATTTATCCTCACAGCTTGTAGAAATATTTATCAACGTTTTCTTCTATTTTTATGTTTTCTTGTCTTTTTTTTTTTTTTGAGACGGAGTCTCGCTCTGTCGCCCAGGCTGGAGTGCAGTGGTGCAATCTCGGCTCACTGCAAGCTCCGCCTCCTGGGTTCCCGCCATTCTCCTGCCTCAGCCTCCCCAGTAGCTGGGACTACAGCCGCCCGCCACCACGCCCGGCTAATTTTTTGTATTTTTAGTAGAGACGGGGTTTCACCGTGTTAGCCAGGATGGTCTCGATCTCCTGACCTCGTGATCCGCCCGCCTCGGCCTCCCAAAGTGCTGGGATTACAGGCGTGAGCCACCGCGCCCGGCCTCACCCTTTTTTGTTAAAGGCATGTTAGGTAGGTAAGTATTCACTTCTTGCTTACGTGACAATTTTTGCCAGGTCCATTAATATTTATTTCATTATTTTTGGCTCTACTCAAGCTGTGGAAATTTTGCTCTCATCTTCGTAAATTATCTCTTTTTTTCTCTGATTTTTAGTGTTTTCCTTCTCTTTGGTGTTATGCACCTTGACTATTATTTAAGTAATTTTTTTTGACACATTGCATTTCTGAATTCAAGGATTTATGTCTGATGTTCAATTTTAAAAACTTATAAATCACCGACTCTTTGAGTACTTACTTGAATTATTTTAATATAGTCTAGAAAAACAATTAGATTTGTTTTATTCTCTCTCATTTCACTTCTATGTTTAATTATATTTGTATTTTATATTTTTTCTCCTTCTACTATTTTTATTTTGCTCAATATACCAGTTAAGTAATGTTCTCATCAGCTCAGAATAACTTAACATTTAACCCATATGTTGTATATTAAGCATATTAATTACATTTTCAATTATTTACTTCATATTTAGCTCTTTTCCAAATATGGCTTGTCAAGCGGAGAGTTTCTTGTTCTTTGCACACTATTATATTTTTTCTGTTTCCCTCATTGTATTGAAAAACATTTTAAATGTAAGTTCTATAACTGTAACATAAGTTGTAATTCGGATCTCCCTTACGGGCGCAATCACTTTTGAAATGTCTGCCGTCAGCTTATGTGTTTTTCCATTTGCTTTATGGCAATGGGAAATCTACATGGATGTGGTATATGTGTGATCACCAATATATAAAAGAAACGCTTCCTTTTTTTTTCTTGCATTTTTTAATTATACTTTAAGTTCTGGGGTACATGTGCAGAACATGCAGTTTTGTTACATAGGTATACACGTGCCATGGTGGTTTGCTGCACCCATCAACCCATCATCTACATTAGGTATTTATTTCTCCTGATGCTATCCCTCCCCTAGCCCCCATCCCCCAACAGGCTCTGGTGTGTAATGTTCCCCTCCCTGCATCCATGTGTTCTCACTGTTCAACTCCCACCTATGAGTGAGAACATGTGGTTCTTGGTTTTCTGTTCTTGTGTTAGTTTGCTGAGAATGATGGTTTCCAGCTTCATCCATGTCCCTGCAAAGGACACGAACTCATCTTTTTTATGGTTGCATAGTATTCCTTCGTGCATATGTACCACATTTTCTTTATCCACTCTATCATTGATGGGCATTTGGGTTGGTTCCAAGTCTAACATTACAACAGAATACTACTCAGAGATACAAAGGAACAAAAACAACTGAAGAGCATGCCCTAGATGAGCCTCATGAATGTGCTGAGTGAGACAGCTGGACATAATATCTTTTGTATGATTACAGGCAAAGTAAACCTATAGTAAGAAAAAAGAAAAATTAAAAAATCAGGACAGAGACAGTTCTGTGAAGAATATCAGTGTTAGTTTAATGGGAATAGCATTGCATCCAAAAATTGCTTTGGGCAGTGTGGCCATTTTAATGATATTGATTCTTCTTATCCATGAGCATGGAATGTTTTTCCATTTGTTTGTGTCATCTCTGGTTTCTTTAGCAGGGGTTTGTAGTTCTCCTTGTGCAGATCTTTCACCTCCCTAGTAAGCTGTATTCCTAGGTGTTTTATTCTTTTTGTGGCAATTGTGAATGGGAGTTCATTTATGATTTTGCTCTGTTTGACTGTTGTTGATGTATAGAAATGCTAGACATTTTTGCCATTGATTTTGTATCCTGAGACTTTGCTGAAGTTGCTTATCAGCTTAAGAAGCTTTTGGGCTGAGACCATGGGGTTTTCTAGATACTGGATCATGTTATCTGCAAACAGGGATCATATGACTTCTTCTCTTCCTATTTGAATGCCCTTTATTTCTCTCACTTGCCTGATTGCCCTGACCAGAACTTCCAATATCTATGTTAAATAGGAGTGGTGAGAGAGAGCGTCCTTGTCTTGTGCCAATTTTAAAGGGGAATGCTTCCAACTTTTGTTCATTCAGTATGATGTTTTCTGTGGGTTTGTCATATATGGCTCTTATTATTTTGAGGTATGTTCCTTCAATACCTAATTTATTGAGAGTTCTTAGCATGAAGCGATGTTGAGTTTTATCAAAAGCCTTTTCTGCATCTATTGAGATGATGATGTGGTTTTTTTCTGTAGTTCTGTTTATGCAATGAATCACATTAATTGACTTGTATATGTTGAAACAAACTTGCATGCTAGCGATGAAGCCTATTTGATCGTGGTGAATAAGATTTTTGATGTGCTGCTATATTCAGTTTGCCAGTATTTTGTTGAAGATTTTTGCATGGATGTTCATCAAGGATATTGGCTTCAAATTTTCTTTTTTTTGTTGTGTCTCTGCCAGGACTTGGTATTAAAATTTATATGGAACCAAAAAAAGAGCCCAAATAGCCAAGACAATCCTAAGCAAAAAGAGCAAAGCTAGAGGCCTCGTGGAACCTGACTTCAAACTATACGACAGGGCTACAGTAACCAAAACAGCATGGTACTAGTACAAGAACAGACACATAGACAAATGGAACAAATAGAAGGCCCAGAAATAAGATCACATGCCTACAACTATCTGATCTTCCACAAACCTGACAAAAATCAGCAATGGGCTGGGTGCGATGGCTCACGCCTGTAATCCCACACTTTGGGAGGCCGAGGTGGGCAGATAGCTTGAGGTAAGGAGCTCAAGACCAGCCTGGCCAACATGGTGAAACCCCCATCTCTACCAAAAATACAAAAATTAGCCAGGCATGGTGGCAGGCACATGTAATCCCAGCTACTTGGGAGGCTGAGGCAGGGGAATTGCTTGAACCTGGGAGGCAGAGGTTGTGGTGAGCCAAGATTGTGCCACTGCACTCCAGCCTGGGCAACAGAGCAAGACTTTCATCTCAAAACAAACAGACAAACAAACACCTGGAATAGCTGTCTAGCCATATGCAGAAAATTGAAACCGGACCCCTTCCTTACACCATATACAAAAATTAACTCAAGGTAGATTAAAGACTTAAATGTAAAAACCAAAACTATAAAAATCCTGGAAGACAACCTAGGCAATACCATTCAGGACATAGGCACGGGCTAAGATTTCACGATAAAGATGCCAAAAGCAATTGCAACAGAAGCAAATATCGACAAATGGTATCTAATTAAACTAAAGAGCTTCTGCACAGTGAAAGAAACTATTAACAGACAACCTACAGAATGGGAGAAAATTTTTGCAAACTATGCATCTGACAAAGATCTAAGGAATAAAGAATTTTAGCAAATGTAAATAAGGAATTTAAGCAAATTTACAAGAAAAAAACAAACAACCCTATTAAAAAGTTGGCAAAGGACATGAACAGACACTTTAAAAATTTTTAAGTTCCAGGATACATGTGCAGGATGTGTAGGTTTGTCACATGGGTAAATGTGTGCCATGGTGATTTGCTGCACCTGTCAACTCATCACCTAGGTATTAAGCCCAGCATGCATTAGCTCTTTTCCCTAATGCTCTCCTTCCCTGAATCCCACCTCCTGACAGCCCCCAGTGTGTGCTGTTCCCCTCCCTATATCCATGTGTTTTCATCATTCAGCCCCAATTTATAAGTGAGATCATGCAGCATTTGGTTTTCTGTTCCTGCGTTAGTTTGCTGAGGATAATGGCTTCCAGCTTTATCCACGTCCCTGCAAAGGACATGATCTCGTTCCTTTTTATGGCTGCGTAGTATTCCATCGTGTATATGTACCATATTTTTCTTTATTCAGTCTATCATTGATGGGCAACCACCTGACCCGTCCCGCCCTGTTGTACTCACACCTGCGATTGCCCCTCTCACCCACATTCAATACCAAAGCCCTGGCCTTGTCACAGCTCCTGGAATCCAAAGAGCCCTGTGCCTCACTCTCCTCATCTGCAGCATGAGTGTCTCCCTCCCACCTCCAGCCTGGCACACAGACCCCAGGGCCAGGGACCCAGAGCCATTTTGATGGCCCAGCCCCTCTTTCATCCCGAGGTGACCCAACCCTGGATTTGACCCCAAGGAGGTCATGCCCCAGGCCTCAGTCCCTCACCTGCCTGTTGAGCGCAGGGCTTGTGTGGGAAGCAGGCCTCACCCCCGGCCAGCCTATGTGCCTGGAATCTGGTCTCACCTGTGTCTTAGACTCATCCTCCCATCTTCCTCACCTCCTGAGGAGGGAGCACCTGTAATGCAGGAGAGGGTGTGAGTGGGCGGGGGCCCTGAGGCAGCCCACGCCCCGGTGCCTGCTGCTTCTCAGCTGGGGGAAGGGACTTTCACCCCAAGGGCTCAGGCTCTGACTCGCCCCAGGAGGACCCTAGGCGCCCCTCACAAGCGGGAATGGAGCCCCTCAGGCAGCACCTCCTGGGGGTCCTCTCCTCTCTACCAATGACAAGCAAGACCTTCAGGGTAGGGTTGTGGCAGCCACACCTCCAGAGACCCCTTGGCTGCTCCTGGACCACACAGCTGCTCAGGGAAATTTAACCTCTGGCCCCCTCCACACAGGAGGGCCACACAGGGGCCACACAGGTGACCCCTGCAGGCACTCACCTGTCACTCGCACACAGAAGGGCACAGTACACATAACCTGGGTGAGCCGCTGCCAGCGGCTGTTGGCCTCAGCGTTCTCTTGCAAGGCATTCAGCACCAGCAGCCACTGGGGCCCCATCAGAATGCAGTTCAGGACACCAGCCCTGCCCCAACCTTGACCCAGACAGTGGGTGGCATGGGACCACCTCTGGGTGAGTGGCAGCTCAGCTCTAAGGTATCCCTGCTGCCAAAGACCAACTGTTCCTGCTAGTTTGAATCTGGCCACAGGGTCTCTGTTGGTGAGACAGATGACCATGAGGCAGACACCCTGAAATCTAGCATGACAGAGCTCAACGCCCCCATGAGAGTCACCATAGCACCCAGACTTTGCAGACATAGCAGCGAAGGCCACAGCAGGCCCTGAGTGAGGAACAATCTGACCAAGATCCTGGGGTCCTGCCACACAGCCCTTTAACCAGGCACTGGAAACTGTTTCCCTAAAGAGCCAGGAGTCAGTATTTTCAGCTTTGCCAACTGATCCTTGCCTCGAGGATGCAACTCTGCCATGGCTGCTCGACAGCAGCCCTCTGAGACAGCCTGTGAAGAGGTGGGCATGACGGCAGCCCCATAACACTCTACTTAGGGACATGGAAACTTCTCAGTGCCATAAAGTATTATTTTTTTATTTGTTCAACCATTTGGAAATGTGAAATCCATTCTTGATTCATGGACCACAAGATCAGGCAGGGACAGGCTGCCCCTTGCCGACCTCTGGAACGAGCTTAGAGAAGGAAATGACATGCTGGGTGCGGTGGCTCACGCCTGTAATCCCAGCACTTTGGGAGGCCGAGGCGGGTGGATCACGAGGTCAGCAGTTTGAGACCAGCCTGACCAACATGGTGAAACCCCATCTCTACTAAAAATACAAAAAAAATTAGCTGGGCATGGTGGCGGCTGCCTGTAATCCCAGCTACTCCGGAGGCTGAGGCAGGAGAATCTCTTGAAACTGGAAAGCAGAGGTTGCAACGAGCTGAGATTGCACCACTACACTCTAGCCTGGGCAACGAGAGCAAAACTCCATCTCAAAAAAAAAAAAAAAAAAGAAGGAAACGACAGGCTGGGCCAGCGCAGCCTCCTCACAGCAGATTCACTGCAGGACGGGTCCTTCTAAGCAACCACTTCTCATCCTTCATCTTGGCTTCAAGCGCAGTTCAGGTGGAGAAAGAGAGAACAGAACTGGCCTCAGCAACAAGAAGGAAGGAGATGCAGGGTCAAGCAGCAGTGTGGATCCATCACACTCAACATTCACACCAAGCAGAGCACAGGCAGGACCAGCCCAGCGGGGGCTGAAGTGGAGGCTCTCTGGGGTGGGGGATCTCTGGGTGGACAAGATTCTCTACCTAAAACTCATATAGAAGTTCCACACAGCAGTAGTTACAGAAAACACACACTAAGAAAAAGGCCAAAATAAAAATAGGACACCAAGTTTGGCCAACTGGGTCTCACAAGCCAGTAGGTAAGAAAGCCCCAGGAGGGCCCACCAGAGTAGCTGGGGGTGGGTTCCTGCCTGCAGGGGGCCTGGGACACCCCATTCTCACAGATGAGGACCCCAGCTTTGGGGAGGAAGCTGTCAGAGTCGCCAAGTGAGCTGATCAGAGCTGGAGCCACAGAGCAGGTGAGGAGCCCTGGCCACATCCCCATGAGGGCTGAGAAGCTGGAGTGGAGGCACAGCCCCAGGGGCAGATGCAAACAGTGGACCCTGGGCCCTCCCCCTGCCCAGAGGATGCTCAGCTCCCAAGGGACCACCAAGGCCTGGAACCCAGGGACACACCACCTGACCATCATGCCCAGGCCTCCCAGACAAGGCAATGGCCAGGACAGGCAGGCAGGCTGGACTTGGGGCCAGGACAGGGGTGGATGGTCCTGCTAGGCAAGCCTCCTCCTCCCTACCAGCTGGGCTGGTTGCACTGTAGTTTTGGTTCTGGCAACATATTGCTGCCCACTTTGGCCACACCAGTCCCTGGCTCCCTGGCCAGGCCCAGTGCTGCCCAACCCCCCTACACGGGCCCCACATACCCACTGCCCACCAGGCTCCTGTCAGCCAGGAGGGGAGGACCCAGGCTCATCCCCTGAAGTATCCGTGGGAGCCTGCATCCCACAGGAACCCACAGCTCAGGGCCAACCTCCATGATGGCCTCTTGGTTGTGGTGGCAGGAGCGGGGGGGAGTTGACCTCCACCCCTCCCATCCTGGCCACTGTGTTTTGTGGGGATCATTCAGTCCTGGGAGCGTCCTGGGGACTCCAGAAGGAAGAGAACAGGGTGGTCATGGCAGCTTCAGCCCAAGGCTCTGGGCCCAAGTGCAACAGTCCTTTGGTTCTGGTTTGATCTGGGCAATAACAACGGGTCATGTCATTCACACAAGGATTGGCTTCAATATAATGCATCAAGGGACTGTGGAGGGCACAGATCAGCCTCCAGGCCAGTTACACTTGGCGGCTTAGCCGATGCAGGCTGGGGAATGGAGAAGCTGACCCCTGACCTCCCCACCTACCCTGCCCACCAGATGCCATAGCAGCCAGGGATCCCTGACGTCAGGCAGAGGCAGGGAGCACAGTTGCTGTCTCCTTTGATCCCATCCCAGGGCCCGCAGGGCCTGGAGAAACCTGGCAGGGGCTGAGTTGGGAGAATCAGGCAGGGGGATGCCAACTGAAGAATGTGAGGGATGGGGTATGAGGGCACTAAGGGCACAGGGTCTGCCTCCCCTGGGGAGGAGGCAGTGGGACACAGACTAGCCGAGCCTCCACAGGCCCCACCCTGCTGCCAGGCACATGTGGTGCCCATACCCACCCCAACGGCTGCAGGAAGTTTCTTCGTCAACAAAAGGGGAGGACACATCCACATCCACATAGGCATTGGTGCCCACACACATCAGAGAAGAAAATTCCTGCTGTGCCCAAGGTGTGGGGAAAGGGGCAATGTCCCCTTCCTCCCCATGGTGGGTCCCAAATTACCTGCTTCTGCCAGCACCCCCAACCCCAACTCCACAAGCTGCTGACCTCCACCACAGTGCATGCCACGTGCCAAGAACAGCTCAGCGGTGCATCCCAAAGGATGCTATCTTGGAGCGGCTGCGCTGGGCGAGGGACACGCTTCCTAGTCACAGAGATTTTGTTTCTTTACCACTCACTGGCCCTGTGCCTCAGTTTCCCCCACTGTGGCACAGTGTAAAAATCCCATCTTGAAGGCTAGGAACCCAGAAAGGTCACCACACCCGGTGAAATGGGGGGTGAAACTCCCTGCCTTGGACCTCTTGCTCCAGGACTGATGTCCATCAGGACATGGCCAGGCCAGCATCCTGGGGAGGGCTGCGTTCCCTGCCTGGGGAACCTTGCTCCCAGTGAGGGATCACTAGAGTTGAGGCCCCTAATGGACTGGGGGAGGCACAGGGTGGAACGGAGGTAGCTCCATCATAAGGGCCTGTGTAGACCCCAGAAAACAAGCATCAAGTTGAGACTCTTGTCTGAAGCTGGCCGCCTGAAAGTATTTGGGCTTTGGGGGTGTGATGAGGGCCTGGGGTCAGGGAACAAAGTGTTCTGGTTTGGACACGCAGGAGGTTCTCTGCGGCTCTCTCAGGTACATAGTATGGTGCTAAGTATATGCTTTTAAAAAGCCTAAGAGGAGGGGGCACCCAGAAGGGGCCCGGAAGTCAAGGGCAAGGTCCAGCCTTTCCACCTCCCCAGCTGAAGACGTGCTGGAGGACAATTCTCCAAAGTTTCATAACAAAGAAGAGAAAAAAGAAATCAAAAAGACCTGGAGGATGGGCAAGGTAATGAGAGCTTACTGGGATTACCCTGCCTAATCCTCAAAGCAAGCCTTCCCTATCTGTCCTCTGGGCCAGGTGAGGAAACAGGTCACAGTAGGACATTCAGACCCTGGGGAGGCAGCTGGCAGCCTGGAGCCCAGGAGGTCCAAACAGACTGCCCCAGCCCCAGCCCTCAGCCAGGAGCGGCTCCACCCCCAGCTCGTTCACTGGTAAATCAGGCCGACTGGGCTGCCTGCCCTTCCCCAATCCCCCTGGCTCAACAGGCAACAGCCTCCCTGCTCGTGGCTGCCAGACTGCAGATGGCAGGCAGTGCACGCCCCCTTTATTTTGGCTTCTCAGCTGCCCACCAGGCCATCCCTCTCCGCCAGGCCACCTGGAGCCTGGCAGTGCGCATGTGGGGTGGACAGCACCTGGAATCCTTGGGCCTGCTTGGCTGGGGGCTGCGGCTTCTGTGCAGGGTGGAGTTAGTGTCCCATCCCATTCCCTGACCCCATGGCCCCTCCGAGAAGGCCCTCCACGTACTGCCAGGCCTTGACCACCAGTCGCCCACATCCAGGAGGCATCGACGTGCTCACCTCTGATTGGCAGTGGGCATGCAACCTGGGGCAGACCCCTTCGAATCCCAGGTACGAGCGAGCTAGGTGAGGGCAAGGTAGCATCAGAGTGTCACCGCTGTATGTCAGCCACTGGGGGACAGGGGACAGGCTTCAGCTTACAGCCATCTTCCAAATTCCAGCCTCTCACTTTGGCAGAAGCTGGCCAGGAATTGGGGCCGATGGATGGGTGGGGTCTGCAGACACCGTGTTCAGGTCCCCATGATGGCCTCACACATGGGTGGTGGCTTGGGCCACACCCGAGCCCCTGCTTGGGCCCTGATCTTTGAGAAGGGGGAGCAGCAGAACCCGGGCACTGACGCTACAGTGCCACTCACACCCACAGATTTCTCCACACAGGCATCAGTCTCGGTCCTGGCCACCTCCTCCTGGACGGCTTCAGCCATTCCCCGGGACTCACGTGGTCCTTCCTCACACGCGGCTCTGGTAGGATGCATTGCTCTGTACCCAGGGACCTCTGAGGTGACAATGGCCACGGTCATGCAGAGTGCAAGGGCACAGGCTGGGTGCCTATTGTGGGGACCGTGACTGCAGCACTCCCAGACTATCCTCGGGCATGTTGCCCCCAGGCTTAGCTAGGGCACCAGCGGTAGGTGCACACTGCTCCGGACTCTGCAGGAGGAGGACAACTGTTACCTGTGTCTTTATGTTCTCCTGCTGCTGTCACTCTGTGCTTCTCATCTCCTTGTGGTAGGATTCAGGGCAGACTCTCTGAACACCTTGTGGGAAATAGCAGAGTCCAGCAGGGAAGAGAGAAGCCCAGCTGCAAAGGTGAAAAAATGGCAGGTGTGACAAGGACCCCCATTCAGATTTAAATGAGGTCCTCATTTAATCTCTGTTCTGATTGGATAACACTTCAAGTGTGTATGTGTGTGTATATTTTTTGTTTGTTTGTTTTTGTTTGAGATGGAGTTTCGCTCTTGGCATGCCCAGGCTGGAGTGCAATGGTGCAATCTCGGCTCACTGCAACCTCCGCCTCCCGGGTTCAAGAGCGTCTCCTGCCTCACCGTCCCGAGTAGCTGGGATTATAGGCATGCGCCACCACACCTGGCTAATTTTGTATTTTTAGTAGAGACTTTGGGGTTTCTCCATGTTGGTCAGGCTGGTCTCGAACTCCTGACCTCAGGTGATCTGCCCGCCTCGGCCTCCCAAAGTGCTGGGATTACAGGCATGAGCCACCGCGCCCGGCATATATACATACATATATATATATATATATATATATATATATATAGAGAGAGAGAGAGAGAGAGAGAGAGAGAGAGAGAGAGAGAGAGAGAGAGAGAGAGAGAGAGAGTCTCGCTCTGTAGCCCAGGCTGGAGTGCAGTGGTGTGATCTCGGCTCACTGCAACCTCTGCCTCCTGGGTCCTGGTTCAAGCAATTCTCCTGCCTCAGCCTCCCGAGTAGCTGGGATTACAGGCACACGCCACCATGCCCAGCTAATATTTGTATTTTTTTTTTTAGACAGAGACTCACAGAGTGCTGTCACCCAGGCTGGGGTGCAATGGTGTGGTCTGGGCTCACTGCAACCTCTGCCTCCTGGGTTCAAGCAATTCCCCTGCCTCAGCCTCCCGAGTAGCTGGGACTATAGGCTCCTGCCACCACACCTGGCTAATTTTTGTATTTTTAGTAGAGACGGGGGTTTCACTATGTTGGCCAGGCTGGTCTTGAACTCCTGAACTTGTGATCCGCCCTCCTCGGCCTCCCAAAGTGTTGGAATTACAGGCATGAGCCACTGTGTCCGGCCACTATGCCCCACCTCTACTCAAGGTGATAAGCAAGCCTGGGTGCCTCCTCTTTTGGTGCCAGCAGAAAAAGCAAACTACTACACAAGGCTCTTCTTCAGTACATGCATATACAAACTCTCACCCTGGCCCCAAACCATAACAAAAACCTAAGCTATTCTCCTTTTCTTACGCTCTCAGGCCACTTTTCGCCTGTTTGAGAGTCCTGCCCTGCTCTCCCCAAAGACCTCAATTATGGACTTGTGGCTGGGGGCCACCTGCCTCTGCAGATGACCATAACAGCTGTAGAAAGGTAAAATGGTGTAAACATTGCAATATATGTTATTTTCAATTGACAAATCCTGCAAATCTTTTCATATCAATAAATGCTGCCCCTCATTTTTAAGTGTGTATGATGAGGCCATTTATCCAATATTTTCTAAATAGGTACTTGAATTATTTCTAATCTTTTGCTATTACAACTGTGAATTAAAACTCACACTGTCAATTCAGAGAACAATTGTTCCTTTCCACTTTTATGGTGCTTTAAATATATTAAAAATGAAAAAATATACACATACACACAACACAAAGCACACACGCACACATACACATGTAAAAGATAGGGTTTCGCTCTATCACCCAGGCTGAAGTGCAGTGGCATGATCATATCTCACTGCAGCCTTAAATTCTTAGGCTCAAGCAATCCTCCTGCCTCAGCCTCCTCATGAGTAGCTAGGAGTGTAAGTGCGTACCACTACGTCTGGCTAATTTTTAAAATTTTTTGTAGAGACAGTGTCTCTATTTTGCCCGGGCTAGGCTGTAACACTTGGCTCCAAGCACCAAGCAATCCTTCTGCCTAGGACTCCCAAAGTGGTGGGATTATAAGCATGAACCATGTGTCCAGTCTGAAAATAAAAATATATAATATCAAAACTTCTGGAATGCAGTGAAAGTATTGCTTAGAAATTTACAACGTTGAATGCATACATTACAAACAAATAAAATTATACACCCAATGATGTAATTTTCTACTTTAGGTCACTAAAGAAAAAAGAACAAATTCAGTCGAAAGAAATAAAAACAACAAGATGACAAGTCAATGGCACTGAAAATAGAAAATCAACAGAAGAACTCAATAGAACAATAGCTGTTTCTTCATAAAGATCAACAAAATTGATAACTATCAAGCAAGGCTAATAAAAAGAAAAAAAGAAATCACACAAATTACTATAAGGTGAGTACAAAAGTAATTGCAGTTTTTG